>NC_000002.12:22509755-22661270 GCF_000001405.40 Homo sapiens
ATAGTTAGCTGTAAAACAGCCTCAGGCAGGTCCTTTAGGAGGTACTCCAGAAGAAGGCGTAATTACCTGAGGAGATGACAGCTCCATATGTGTTATGGCCCCTTGAAGACCTTTCAGTGGACAAGATATGGAGGTGGAAGACAGTGATATTAATAATCCTGACTCCGTGTAGGCCGAGGCTAACGTGTGTTGTTTGTGTTTGAGTTTTTAACAAAAATTTTAAAAAGTTAAAAAAATAGACATTTTAAAAATAGAAAAAAAAGCTTATAGAATAAGGACACAAAAATATGTTTGTACAGCTGCACAATGTGTTTGTGTTTTAAGCTAAATGTTATTACAAAAGAGTCAAATTTTTTAAAAAAGTTAAAAGATTATAAAGTTACAGCAAGCTAAAGTTAATTTATTATTGAAAAGTTCTTATAAATGTAGTGTGCCTTCTGTCTATAATGTTTATAAAGTGATAGTGTATAGTGTACAGTAATGTCCTAGGCCTTCATATTCACTCACCACTCACTAACTCTCCCAGAGCAATTTCCACCCTATACAGGTGTACCATTTTTTATCTTTCATACTATATTTGTATTGTAACATTTCTATATTTAGATACACAAATACTTACCATCGTGTTATAATTGCCTACAGTATTTAGTACAGAAACATGCTGTACAGGTTTTTAGCCTAGGAGCAAAACTGTCCCCTGCATCCTAGGTATGTAGTAAGCTACGGCATCTAAGTCTGTGTAAGTACACTCTGCGACGTTCACACAACAATGTAATCGCCTAATGATGCATTTCTCAGAACATATCCCCGTCGTTAAGCAACACATGACTGTATCTCATTGATTGTGTCAAATTAGAGCTGGCTAACCAGAACTGACAGTGATTCATTCAAAATAAAGTGTCAGGAAAAATCAAAGCTTGGGCTTCTTTTTCCCGCCTCTAAGCAATACAGACTTGCCTATCATTTTTAATATATGAGAAATGGATGGAAAAGTAACCTTATCGATAATCAGTGAAAGGATGAAAGATGCCTCTCCTTAAAGTTTAGAAGTCTTCAATGCTTCCCCACCCCCACCATCTAAATGGTACAGTTTTAAAACCTGCACCTTTTCTTAGTATAAGGCCCTCCACAGTCCCCACCCTCTTCCCCAAATTCAATATGAAGCAAACAAGTCATCTCCCTGGAATGTATCTCCTCTCCATTCTTTATAATTGTCTCTGTTCCGCTTAACATGCAAAGCCAATCTCAACACATACCTTCCTATAGTCACTATGCTGACCACGGTATTCACTGAGGACTCACTTTTCTAAATTGTCTAAGCCACTCTTAAACTACCAGGGCAGCTATTGCCCAGCACTAGGTCCTGTAGATAGGCTATCCTCTCTAAGAAGGCACAAGTCTTTCAAAAGTAGAATCTTCTATTTATTCCGTTTGGCATCACAAAATTCTGAAACCCAGACATCTTAAAACAACATAAATTCATTCTCTCTTCTTCCTGGAAGTTAGAAGACCAAGACCAAGGTATCCACAGAGCCAGTCTCTCTCTGAAGGGTCTACGGAAGGATCTGTTCCATTCCTTTCTCTTAGTTTCGGGTATTGCTGGCAATGCCTGGCATTACTTGCTTACAACTGCATAACTCCAATTTCTGCCCCCAACTTCACATGGCCAACTTCCCTCTGTGTCTGTATCTTTCTAAGCCCTCTCTTTTTCTGATAAGAACACCAGTCATATTGGATTTAGGCCCCATCCTATCCAGTCTGTCCTCATCTTACCTTAACCAGTTACATCTGCAAAGACCCTATTTCCAAGTAGGGTCACTTTCTGAGGTTCTAAATACACATACATTGGGTGAGGGGCGAGCACTATTCAAAGCAGTACAGAGCTATACCTCATCCTGCTTTGATGCTTAGTGTCTTCCTTCCACTAGGAGAATTTAAGGACTCAGCTGCAACGATGACACTATTTGTGGAGCACGTGTTGTATAAGGTCATATGCTGGACTATGCTGTAGACCCTTTATGTACCAACTCTGACACAGAAGGGCAGGGAAAGTACCCTTCCTAGAAGACTTGATTGTGGTAAGAAAAAGCCAATGCCTTTGTTACGGTAATTGCTTTTGACCTGCTCTTCTGGGAGACCTCTGGTAAGGTACAATGGAGTTCACCTAAGCAAAGTTTTAGTGGAAGAGATCAGGAATAATTAAGGCAGGGAGGGTGGGGAGAGGAAACAATCATGGAGAAGTCTCATCTTCAAGCATGGGAAATGTCAAGCCGGATTCACTCTGTGTAAAGGTCAGCCCTAACATGCCAACCTTTTAAATTTTTATTTGAAGGACTGTGTTTAAAATACCATGCTACAAATTTGCTAAACAAAGAAAAAAAAAACAATTCACTCTGAGAGAACCACGTATATAGCCACAGAAGACAGAGACACCACATTAGGGCACAAAACTAAATAAGAACAATGGAAATTCCCTGAAGTTTTAGGGAAGCAAATGAAAGAGCACAGGAACTTTTTTAAACATGTAGGAGAAAACTTTGGTGAAGGAAAGCAAGCAAACAACAAATGAAACTTCACTTATCTTGGAGCCAAGAAACTTGTTTTCCTGTTTTAGTTTGCTATTTGCTGGCTTTGTGACATTCAGCAGATAAAGACATTTCACTTTTCTCTACTATGGAGTAACACTTGGCTTACACACTGTAAATTATTGCTTTGTGCAACAAAATGAATCAAATGTTTTCAGAAATCATTAATTATTCGACAAATACTTGTGATTTTTTGATACTTTCAGATAAGTAGTTACGTATTATCTTAATGATTACCAACATTGCAACCAAATGTTGTCTGCCATTTTGAAGTAATACAAATCTGTTCTTGAGAAAAGTCCTAAGGGATCAAGCCAAACTTGTTTCCTAGCAGAGGCGTTTCACAAAAGGTTAGGCAAAATTGAAAGCCATCATCAGACATTTAAAAATAAGGTTTTAAAAGCTGACCTAGTTGTTGAACAAATAGATGTGTTTATTGAATACCTACTATGTGTATGTGTTGCCTAGGATTGAAGGAGAAGCAGAGCTGAAAAAATCAATATCCCTGAGCCTAAAAAGATCAGAATACAGCCATACGCTATTACAAAATGTCAAGGTAATATATAAAGAATACAGAGGTAAGGAAAAATAAGAGCTGGTTAATTTTAGAGTCAAAAGAGATCCCTATGAATATAAATAGTTAAGGAACCATCATAGAGGAAAAGGTGGTAAGCTAGATAGTAAAAGATACCTTGGTGATAATTTTGATTCCATATAATAGAACAAATACTTAAACACTTGGATGGAATAGAGGTTGGAAAGTATGAGGATGAGGAAGGAGGGAAAGAGAGAAAAATGCTTTAGTTTTAATCCTAAAGGCATTATCAGTTTAAGTACTTCTCTGTGACTGAGGTTATTATCCACAATATCAGGGTGGACCCTCATGTCAGACTGAAACCAAATGGATTTTAGCACATTTGCCAGACCTAGAAGAAAACTTAATGAGAGATGTTAATATCTTTACGGTCTGTTCATTCTAAATAGGAAAGAAGATAGGAGGTGAAGACTGAACCCATTTGCCTTTGAGGGAGCAGGACACTTAGACAGCATTCTCACTCTTTGTGGCCAAATGAATTAATTCATCTATTTCTTATAATCTTCTTAATGGTAAAATATCTGCATGTGTAAAAAATTATTGTTTTATATATTTACACACACATATATTCAAATGAATGTATGTAGATATACGACTACACTAGTATCTGTGGGAAAAAGAGAAAAAAATCCTTTATGAGAGATGAAGTATAAAAAATGAGAATGGAATTCGGAGTTGCAAAGTGGATGCTTTTTTAGAAGATTGAACGGAAGAAAATGATCAGACTGAAATTAGCTGGATTGGAACAATGCTTTCTAAAAAGTGACCTATTCTGAGATGGGAAGATCATACCCTTTCAAGAAGAGACAATCAGCTTTTGTGTGTTATGTCATTGTAAAAGCCACTTAGAGAAACGCAGCCCAGCACTTGCTTTTGAGAGGAGATGGTAAGATGACAAAACGATGAACTTAATGGACTATGAGATATTTTTAAATAGCATTTTTCATTTTAAATGTGGATCCAAAACCAATGCTTATAGAATGAGGACTGAAAGCTTTAGTTCAAACCAGCAAGGCCTTCTCCAGTATCTGCACCGAAAGCTCTCTGACAAGAATACACTTGATTTTCAACCAGCAAGAGACTAGTTATTCCATTTAGGGAAATGACATCCTGATGACCTAAAATTACCCTTGCAGTTTCTGCAGACTGTAGCTTCAGCAATGTGTCTATTCTGGGTTGCACAAAAAAAGAGTTTCGCTATGGCTTTTGGAGAACCCTTCCTGGGGAGTATCATGCTTTTCCCAGCTTCTTTGCTAAAGGTGACATGAATGTCTATCAACATGGCACTTACCAGCCACCAGGGTTGGTAATTCATTCATTCAGGAAGACTTTGTGAATGTTTACCATGTGCCAGACTCTGTGTTAGATGCTGGTTATACAGATTAAAAATATAGTGTCTGTCCTCAACAGCTTAACACCCTTTGGGAAGGAGAGTCAAGTAAACAGACAATTAGAATACAGCAGAGCGATGGCCAGCTAACTGGATTCCTGAAAATGTGTTTGACTTCATCCTATCCTCTCTTTTCTCATTCATTTCCTAACACTGCAGTCTGGCCCAGGCTCCTGCCTGATACTGATCTTCCAGGACTACACAACCTGCCAATCCAATGGCCAGTTTAACCTGCGCCACACCCATTTTCCAACAGTATTTGTCACTTTGCATCACCCACTAACTTTCTCAATTATCTCTTTTCTTGGTTCCCAGGACTGTGCAATATCTTGAATTTTCTCCTTATAACTTTGAAAAAACAATTCTTTCTAAGTTTCCTCATGTAGAGTCATTTCCATTATTTAGCCCCTAAATGTTAAGACTACATAGAATTTTGTTAGTTCTTTCAATATGTGCTTTCTTTATATAATTTCATCTCTTAGCCTCCCAAACAAAACATAACCTCCAAATCACTCCCATATATATTCCATTGTCAGTTTTGTCCATGAGACTTTGGAAATGCCTCCAAGCTTCCATTCAAGATGGTAAACAGAGCTTATATATTTAACTACACCATAGTAAATTTCCATTTATATTCACAGTGTTATGTAAAAACATATACATTTTAAAAAACTGCATCAGTGTTACCAAACAGGGAAGGATGCCATTCACATATTCAATATTGTGAGGGTGTTTTTCCAAGATTTATTATAGGTCTTGGATTACTAGATTGAAAAATTACTAGCCTATGATTCAATGCATGGGAAGGCAATCCCCCAGATCTCCAAAACACTCATGGCAGAATTGGAGAAATGGGTAAGACCTGGGCAATCAAGAGAGTCCAAATCTCACAATTTGAATGACTTCAGCATGGACACCAGGAAAATCCTTGAGAGTCCCAGGCTTGGACTCTTACTCTGGGGCTCTTTGACCATAGACAGTCTCACGAATAATGCCAAATAAAATGGGGACATTTTCTCAACAAGCCACTGACATTGGCCTGTCTACTCTGTTCTATTTCCTGTACTTTTACATTGCCAGATAAAGATACCAGTCCTTGTAAGTGAGGAGTAGGAAGGGAGCTAAAGTTACAGGCATTCATGCAGTAGGAAGGTTTGAGTCTTCTGACACGGGTTTATTTCTCTGTTTGTGGGTGTTTGTCACTTGCATCTGTTGTAGCAGCCAACATTTATCAGGGACTCAGTTATTGTTTATTGGGCAATGCAAATGTCCATGTTGTGAGACTCTTACAGGAAGGCTTCCTCCAAAACCAGGCACACCAACAGGGCAAGCTCTGTGTGCCTCGGTCCACTCTCTGCTCCAATTACATTTCTAAAAGATCAGACTTGACCCCAATGCCCCACCCCTTCTCCTCCAGCTCCTGCTGCCTGCACTGATGGACCCTACTGCCTGGTTGGCATATCACTTGGTTTACAGCAACTGGAAAGAGGAATATAATGTAACAAACCTTGCTGCTATTTACAAGATAGTTCTTTCTTTGTTTTTACTCCCTCAAGTTGGTTGTAACACTGAAGTTAGCTGGGCTACTGCCTCATATCCCTAACTGAAATGACTTTGCTCAATGCTGTGGTTTGAATGTGTGTGCCGTGGTTTGAATGTGTGTGCCACCACCCCCAAATTAACATGCTGAAGCCTAGTCACCAATGCGAGGCTATTAGAAGGCAGGGCCTTTGGGAGGTGATTAGATCATGAGGGTGGAACCTTCATAAATGGGATTATGACCTTATAAAATAGGCCCAGAGAGCTGCCTTTTCCCTTTTATCCTATGGGGACACAGTAAGAGGATGCCATCTATAAATCAGAAAGCAGAGTCTCACCAGATACTGAATTTGCCAGTGCCCTGATCATGGACCCTCCAGCCTTCAGAATTGTGAGAAATTTCTGTTGTTTATAAGCTACTTATATAAGCTATATGGCATTTTGTGGTAGCAGCCCAAATGAACTAAGACACTTATCAACAAACCCTCTTCAGTAAAGTCCTACTTTAAAAAGTGTGCACCCTATGCCATGGTGTATCAGTCAATTATTACCATAATCATTTTGTGTGACAAACAACCTCAAGATCTTAATGGATTACAACAGTAACTACTTATTTTCCTTGCTTCTGTGAGTCAGGTATGGCTTTACTAGGATAGGATGGGCTTGGCTACAGGTCAGATTAGCATTGTTCCAACCATTTTTTCTTTTGCAGGCAACAGACACCTGAGCCATGTACTCCTCCTGATGGATCGCAGGAGCATAAGATGGTAAGCCGAAACACAGAATACATCACAAAGCCCATCCTTGAAACTAGGACAATGTCCATCAGCTACAAGCCCTATGATTAAGTCCATCAAAGGTGAA
This sequence comes from Homo sapiens, assembly GCF_000001405.40. NCBI lineage: Eukaryota > Metazoa > Chordata > Mammalia > Primates > Hominidae > Homo > Homo sapiens. The sequence continues at coordinate 22,516,729 of NC_000002.12, forward strand.
GTAGATGGAACTCCATATAGACAAAAATAAAGGTGACAGGTAAGAATAGGAAACGGTTGAAGTGGATGAGATAAAATTCTAACCTTATGAATAATTTCAGGAATATAACAAGTGTCTTTCCAAGTTATGGTTGGCTATGTATGATAGATTTATTTATTTATCCCAATTTTGCCCTCCCTCCAAGGTATGAGATTATACATTTACCCCCTTTATAGTATGGCTTCTTAGTTACTGGATCTTGGGTTAGTCTAGCCTTCAATTTGATACTGTAAACAAGATGTTTTATGCTGATTCTTTTCTTATCTATGCTGATGCAAATTTCTCCTAATATGTATCCTGGTGTGATACACACACACATTATTTGACACCCATATATCTATGTATATATGTATAGGTCTGCATATATATTTGTGCAAGCATAAATTTGTAAGGGAGGGGAATTAAATGCATAAGGCTTAAATTGCCATCTTGAACCAGAAGACCTTTGGGTGTAATTTTTCCATGTTTGTTTAAGTGTGTTTCTCCCAAAGAGACTGTATATCATCTTGGTATTCTAAGCACATAATATTGTTCCAGGACTAGTCATATAAATAAATAAATAAATAAATAAATAAATAAATAAATAAATATATGTGTGTGTGTGTGTGTGTGTGTGTGTGTGTGTATACACTCAACAAATGTTCAAATTAAATTATTAATCAAATTAATGATTTGGCTATTCTTTCCAAACATTTTATGACGATAAAAACTTAAATCCTGTACTAAAATCTTGCATCTTTTCATCCCATTCATTCTGTGACCCAGCAGCTTAATCCTGCCTTGCTGACCTTGTATATTCTCTAGTTCCATGATGCCTCCTTTAAGGTGGGGTGAAATATGTAGCAAATAACTCAGGGTAAAGGCACAATTATCTGTTAACAGAATTTAAGAGATGTGAGTTTTTATCAGAGATGGTACATAACAAAAGTTAGTATCAGTAAACTGTGGTTCTAACTTTTATGCTACTGTTGGACTTTTTAAACCCCTTCACCTCTCTAACCTCAGATTTCCCAAAAGAAAATGGAAACACGTTTTTAGAAGCTACTTTTCCTCCCCACCTTACCTGGCTATATCAAATGAAATGTTTGAGAATATGCTATGAATAAGAAGTGTTACAAAAATATGATCTGCAAGTATTAAAAGAGAAATTTAATAAATCCAGAGACTATTGTTTAGAAAGTAATTATTACTTGTGTCTCTCAGGGCAAGGAGAAGGGAACAGAAGGATACGGAGAAGCTATTTGTAGTTCACCCCTGCCTAGATAAAATGACTTTAAACACAGTATACAATCGCAGAATAAGAAGTATCCCTCAAGATATAAAATTCTTCCCATATTACCTCCCCCATCATCCACATCCAAGAATCCAGCATGGGGGCAGGTAAAGGGGAAAGAAGATCAGCAACTTCAGAAGGGGGTCTCTATGGGAGGGAATTGTCAGAGTCTGTCAGCCTCACTCAACCTTCAGGGTTCTGGTTAATGCATTTTGACAGGGAAGAGAGTTGATTCTGAATAAATGAATCCTTTCATGTAGAGAACTTCTGGGGAGCAGTGCAGAGTGAAAAAAACCAGCACCCATGACTTCCTCATGTGGAATTCTGGGCTGATGCTCCATCTGACTCCAGGTAATCACGGGGCATTTCTTTCAAAGCCATCCATATTTCTGGGCTGGAAAAAAAAAGTTTCAAAGACTAAACCCCATGCTGAGGAGCTGATTTCTTATAACAATAGCTAATGATGAGTGTTCTTGAAACCCCTTTTTAATCAAAGGACAGGGATTGTCAGAGCAGATATCACTGTATTAAGTCCAAACTAAAAGCCTGGTCAGGGCTTCTATACTATAGTTAAAACCATTAATAAAGGCAGCTCTAAGATATTTCTGTGAGAGATTCAGAAAGAACACTAATTAACCCAGACAGGGAATCTTCCAAAGATGTATTCCTTCTGTTGAAGAATATCCTGTATTGGCATTTTTGTGAATCATTCTTGACATTTTGCCAGTTCTGCTGTCAGCTTTCAAGGGATACAGAAATAGTGAGTAGATTTTTAAGAGCAAAAATCTATAAAACAAAGTCTGATTACAACACTACTGGCTGGCTTAAAAACAAACACAGAGATGATCATTAAAAAACAAAACTTCTAGCAAAGTCTCCTGTGGTAAAATAGCTTCATCTTGTTGGTATGAGACCATGTCTGAAGGAGCCAACTTAGATTGAATTACAGTGTTCTCTGGATTACAAGTGTAAAAGTGTTTTGTGTTATTGTTTAGTGAACATGTCTGGGTGAGCAGACAGTCATACACATATACATATATTCATTCAGTGAATATTTATTAAACAGCTATTCTGTGCCAGACACTGCTAATAAACTCTTAAGAGAGCTGCCGTTATTACTTTTTATAAAATACTAGTAATTGTTCTAAAAAGAGTAATTGCTAAATGTTTATTTTATGCTTCAAGTAACTGAACATTTTTAGACATAAGTAGTATGCACAAGCTCATTATTAAAAAACTAAAGTAGAATATTGGCTATTAAAGTGGAAGTAAAGTATCTATTCACCAGTCCCTGACTTCCATAGCCCAACCACCACTTCCTGTGGAAATATTATTCATGGAGCGTGATTTAAAGAGTATTACTCTCAAACATTCTTACCACCCAGAACTTGCTAATGGCATTCAAAAGTGATGTAACACAAGTCACATTTCACACTTATACTTTCTCTTTATTCGCATAGTACCCATACTACTCTAGAAAACAGTATTTTTAGCTCCCTCACTTTAGCCCCTAAAATGACTGAGAATAAGAGAAGATCGAAGTTTTCTTCCTTTCCTTTCCTTTCTGCCATCCTCCCTCCTTCTTTCTCTTTCTTTCCTTTTTTTCTTCTTTCCTTCTTTCTTGTTATTGTTTTTAAATTATATGCATAGGCCAATATAACACAGACACAAGTTTGCAGGTTGTCAGGAAAATAAGAAAGAGAACATTTTGACTAAGAACTCCAAATTGAACCAGAATAGAGGACATAGTGCATTTCTTTGTAACTTGGAAAGTTGGGTCATGGAGAAGCTACTGTGTAAAATAGGCATATAAAATTTTGGCATTAAAGAAGACTCTTGCTCAGCCAATGACATGTGGACTGCCTGGATATCCCCAAATTCTGATTCCACATTTGTTTTTATAAAACAAAACAAATGAACAAAGAACAGCCCCATATTCACCTGCTACTTGCTACAAAACATAGGCCTGAGAGAATTTATGAGCAAAGGCAGGATGCTTACTTTAAATATGTTTGTATAGCATTTGGAATCCTCAGAGAATGGGGCCTGAATAAATAAAACACCACTACTAATAATATTTCACAAAGCTCGGTGAGAGAGTGGCTGTGGACCCTGGCCATTCCCTGGGCATACCTGCCTCTTATCAAACTCGCATCACAGTCTGATGGGGTGTCCTTCTCTTGCCCTTGCCATTCAATAACTCCTGCAAGTGCAGAAGACAATGGGGGTTTTAAGGAAGGGTCAGGATTCTCTGCCCATCTCCATTGCTCCTGCACTCAGCCACGTGGTCACCTCCTGCAACTGGCATTGTGCAGAACGTCATGGAAGAGAAATGGTCCCTGGGCAGAGTCTGTCAGCAGGAATTTTGGCTGAGGAAGAGAGACAGTTCTTGTCCAGCATCGTATTTCTTTCTCTACCTTAGTAATAGCCAGAGAATACTGGAAATGACCGACTGAGTAAATTGCTTTTGGAACAAATGCGCTCCCTCCCACTGGTCTCCTCCTTCTCTTTTTTTGGTTTCTGGCTCTCTCCCCTCCCTCCTCATCTCCTCCTATCCCTCTGCAAGCATGAAAATCTCTCCTCTCTTTCAGATGATGCAAAGCTACTGACAAAGGTCAGGAAAACATGTATATATGTAATATGTAATGTTTTGCTAACAATTCAGGATGTCGCCTCCAGCTTTCCAGGTCATGAAGTAGGTGTGGTCTAGGTCAGAAAAGCCATCCGTCTTCACATTCATGCAGCCAGGCCAGCATGTAGGGGCCACTTGCAAACATCACTGACCCCATAACAAGGTCTGTCTCTTGAGATTTATCCACAAGCATTGGCCTGAAGCCCCTTGGCTGGTAAAACATGACCCCAAGAGGAGGAGATAGTTCAGATTCCTGACTGGGTGCACCCAACAGAATGAAGTCATTAACGTTGTTGCTACTTCCAGCTTCCCTCTCAGTCCAGCCTGGGTTCTCCTCCCTGAAACTTGCTCTGGATTCCTTTGAACAGCTTTGTTATCAGCTGCACAGATACTGTAAACCAACCTTCAGTGAGTGTGTCTGTCTCTGGTAGTGGTTAAAATTACACAAAGACACACCTTTATTGGGAGTTACTGCTGTGAACTTCCTTTACACTAGGGATATAATACAACTTATAAAGCAGGTGTCTGCCAAATTAACGAGCATAGTCTGCACTGCTTTCTGACACCAACAACAAATTCTCCGGCTCTCTAGAAACCAACTAGATATCCTACAATTCAATTCTGTTCTGACACTATCTACCTAGAGTTAGCATCAGAGCCCATGAGTTAAGAGCTCAGTCCCACAAGACCATGCCCACTTTAGACACCAGTCCTAAGTCCCAGGCTGTCACCTGTACTTCTGACTGGATATAAATTCGAGGGTTTTCATTATCCCCTTTTAAGTTTTGCTACTTTTCTAGGACAGTTCATAGAACTCAAGAAAATACTTCATTATTTATTGTAAAGGATACATCTCAGGAATAGCCAAATAAAAGAGATACAAAATGCAATGTATTGGGGGAGAGCGTGTGCAGAATTCCCATGATCACTCTGGGCATGCCGCACTCCCAGCAACTCAGAAGCTCTCCAAACCCCACTGTTTAGGGTTTTTATGCAGGTCTCATTGCATAGGCATAATTGATTAAATTATTGGCCATTGGTGATTGGTCTCAACCTTTAGAATCTCTCCCCTCCCCAGGGGTCACTGCTTGAGGCTGAAAGTTCCAACTTCTAGTCATGCCTTGATCTTCCTGGTGAGCAGTTGCCATTCTAAAGCTGTCTGGAGCCCCAAGACACCAATCACATCATTAGCATACAAAAGACACTAATCCCCTGGAGATTCCAAGGACTTTAGGAGCTGTGTGCCATCAATCAGGGACAAAGATCCTCATATATTCCTTATTATGCCATGGGAAATAATACAGTTTACAAAGCAGGGTGTCTGCTAAATGAATCTTAATTAATGAACACAGAGATCCATGATTAGAGGTGTTGCCATGTGTGTCCCCACACTCTCCACCCACATGCATTAATGTCCCTTAGCAAAGAGCCTCCTGCATTAGTTTGCTAAGGGTAATAGCCAAATACTACATGTTCTCACTTATAAATGGGAGCTAAATGAACTTATGAACACCAAGAAGTAAACAACAGACACTGGGGTCTGCTTGACGGGGGAGGGTAGGAGGAGGGAGAGGAGCAGAAAAGGTTAACTACTGGGTACTGGGCTTGATACCTGGGTGCTGAAATAATATGTACAACAAACTCCCATGACTTGTGTTTGCCTATGTAACAAACCTTCACGTGTACCCCTAAACTTAAAATAAACATTAAAAAAAAATCAGGCAGGAGAAGGAAATAAAGTGTATTCAGTTAGGAAAAGAGGAAGTCAAATTGTCCTTGTTTGCAGATGACATGATTGTATATCTAGAAAACCCCATTGTCTCAGCCCAAAATCTCCTTAAGCTGATAAGCAACTTCAGCAAAGTCTCAGGATACAAAATCAATGTGTAAAAATCACAAGCATTCTTATACACCAACAACAGACAAACAGAGAGCCAAATCATGAGTGAACTCCTATTCACAATTGCTTCAAAGAGAATAAAATACCTAAGAATCTAACTTACAAGGGACCTGAAGGACCTCTTCAAGGAGAACTACAAACCACTGCTCAATGAAATAAAAGAGGATACAAACAAATGGAAGAACATTCCATGCTCATGGGTAGGAAGAATCAATATCGTGAAAATGGCCATACTGCCCAAGGTAATTTATAGATTCAATGCCATCCCCATCAAGCTACCAATGACTTTCTTCACAGAATTGGAAAAAACTACTTTAAAGTTCATATGGAACAAAAAAGAGCCTGCATTGCCAAGACAATCCTAAGCTAAAAGAACAAAGCTGGAGGCATCATGCTACTTGACTTCAAACTATACTACAAGGCTACAGTAACCAAAACAGCATGGTACTGGTACCAAAACAGAGATATAGACAAATGGAACAGAACAGGGCCCTCAGAAGTAATGCCACATATCTACAACCATCTGATCTTTGACAAACCTGACAAAAACAAGAAATGGGGAAATGATTCCCTATTTAATAAATGGTGCTGGGAAAACTGGCTAGCCATATGTAGAAAGCTGAAACTGGATCCCTTCCTTACACCTTATACAAAAATTAATTCAAGATGGATTAAAGGCTTAAATGTTAGACCTGAAACCATAGAAACCCTAGAAGAAAACCTAGGCAATACCATTCAGGACATAGGCATGGGCAAGGACTTCATGTCTAAAACACCAAAAGCAATGGCAATAAAAGCCAAAATTGACAAATGGGATCTAATTAAACTAAACAGTTTCTGCACAGCAAAAGAAACTACCATCAGAGTGAACAGGCAACCTACAAAATGGGAGAAAATTTTTGCAACCTACTCATCTGACAAAGGGCTAATATCCAGAATCTACAATGAACTCAAACAAATTTACAAAAAAAAAAACAAACAACCCCATCAAAAAGTGGGTGAAGGATATGAACAGACACTTCTCAAAAGAAGACATTTATGCAGCCAACAGACACATGAAAAAATGCTCATCATCACTGGCCATTAGAGAAATGCAAATCAAAACCACAATGAGACACCACCTCATACCAGTTAGAATGGCGATCATTAAACAGTCAGGAAACAACAGGTGCTGGAGAGGATGTGGAGAAATAGGAATGCTTTTACACCGTTGGTGGGACTGTAAACTAGTTCAACCATTGTGGAAGTCAGTGTGGCGATTCCTCAGGGATCTAGAACTAGAAATACCATTTGACCCAGCCATCCCATTACTGGGTATATACCCAAAGGACTATAAATCATGCTGCTATAAAGATACATGCACACATATGTTTATTGCGGCACTATTCACAATAGCAAAGACTTGGATCCAACCCAAATGTCCAACAATGATAGACTGGATTAAGAAAACGTGGCACATATACACCATGGAATACTATGCAGCCATAAAAAGGATGAGTTCATGTCCTTTGTAGGGACATGGATGAAGCTGAAAACCATCATTCTCAGCAAGCTATCGCAAGGACAAAAAACCAAACACCGCATGTTCTCACTCATAGGTGGGAATTGGACAATGAAAACACATGGACACAGGAAGGGGAACATCACACACCAGGGCCTGTTGTGGTGTGAGAGGATGGATGGGGGAGGGATAGCATTAGGAGATATACCTAATGTTAAATGACGAGTTACTGGGTGCGGCACACCAACATGGCACATGTATACATATGTAACTAACCTGCGCGTTGTGCACATGTACCCTAAAACTTAAAGTATAATAAAAAATAAATAAAAAAAATAATCTGCACTAATGCAGCCAGGCCTGGCCTTGTCTGGATCTAGGAAAGATTAACAGAGAGGCTGACTCCTCTAAAGGCCTGAAAAGAAATACTGACCACCTTTTTCTCTGAGGGCTGCTACCTGTGAAGTTTCAACTACGTAACAAGACCACCTTGCCTAGTAAAACCTCCTCTTTTCTCCCTTCTATAATCTGATTTGTCATCATAACCCATTCTGGGCCATTCTCTGAAACCTCATTCTTTCTGTAACCTCAAGATGGTATATAAGCTTCTGTACCCTATGGGGGGATGGGGGTTGGGTCTTCGTTCTGAAGGTTCTTGTACATACACATTAAATAAATTCATATGCCTTTTCTCCTAAGAACACAATCAAACAAAAGCCTCACCGGTGAGTTAATTCCACACCCCAGGACCTACCTCATCTGAGACCCAGTCTTCAGGGACCTCTCTCCAGCCCTGTCATCTGATATCATTGAAATAGATTAAACTTGACTTTCTGAGCTCCTCTTTTGGCTCCTATAGCCTGCAGCTCTGCTTGCATGTGCCTATGTGATTTCTCATTCCAGTCATATTACAAACTAACCGAGACACAGATCTTGTGCAAAAATTTTCTGCTGCCATCTCAGCATCTACTTCAGTGTCTTCCCAAGCATCAGTAAATGTTTGCTAATAATTAATTAATAAAATAGATCTATAAAATGACTATTACTGGGAATAATAATACTGATAATAAAAATAATATTTAAGTAACATTTATAACTTGCCGGGAACTTTACTAGACATACATTTAATAATTAATTTAATTTATATGAACCAGCTGTGAAAGGGAGTTAACATATTCTCTACACAGGAAAAACCAAAGTTTAGAGAAAAATGCTAAAGAAACTGACACAGGGTCATGCATAGAGGAGGCAAAAAAAAAAAAAAAAAAAAAAAAAAAAAGATTCCTGCCTCATAATCCCCAGAATGTTGAGGCAAAGTGGAATTTTGAAGGTATCATTAATAAGATTTTTCAATGCTCAGTAGGGAAGATTGATTTTCTCTAACAAAATGGAACTCTGTCTTCACAAACTCATACAGAAAGTTCTCTTCATAAGTGATCAGGATTTGCAATGTGCTTATCCAGTTGCTCCTAGATTTTTAGTAAAAGTCATCTATATATCACAGAATAACTGAGCGAGGAGGACTATAAAAAATAATCCAGTTCCAAAAATTGTTTACTTTCAGCATCCAGTTGATATCTTTAAGCTTCTGTAGGCAGAAAATACTTCAGAGCTTGAGTGCATGACATACAAATGGTCTCTGATGTTATTTTTCAACTTATTTTTTAACTTTATGATGGTACAAAAGTGATACATATTCAATAGAAACCATACTTTGAATTTTGATCCTTTCCAGGGATACTATGCTATGATGGGGTGCTATTCTCCCTCTCTCTCTTTTGCTGTCTCCATGCTGGACACTGGCAGTGAGCCACAGCTCCCAGTCAGCCACACATTCATGAGGGTAAACAACTGATACAGCCATTCTGTTTTTCATTTTCAGTCCAGTATTCAATAAGATACATGAGATATTCAGCACTTTGTTATAAAAAAGGCTTTGTGTTAGATAATTTTGCCCAACTACAGGCCAATGTATTGTTCTGAGCATATTTAAGCTAGGCTGGGCTGAGCTATGCTGTTTAGTAGGTTATCTGTATTCAATGCATTTTTGACTTAAGATATTTTCACCTTACAATAGGTTTATTGAAATGTAACCCCATCATAAGTCAAGGAGCATCTATGCTTCAAACAGTCCTGGGCAAGAAAGAGTTGAACTTTGCTCTACACCCCCACTATATTCTTGCCTCCTAGTATCTTGGCTATGTCTACTAATTCTCAATTGCAGCCTTTACTTTAGGGATGTAGTTTTCAAGATGACCCTTTTTGGGATGTTAGTGTCTTCCAATGTTGTACAGATTATGTCTAGTCTTGCCTGTTGACCACAGTCTAGCAATTAGTATTATAACCTAACATACCTCTAGCTTCCAATTTGGCTCGATTATATATGCCTCAGAATCTTGGAAAGATGTACAATTTGTTTATTTATTTCATAAGAAGTGAGAATTAAATTGGATCTTTAATCCACAAGTCATATTTTCTTTCTTCAGTGCCATGCAATAAAGTCAGTCTCTTTGTCAGTGGAGAAGCTGCTCGTCAATACAAATTGAGCACTTGGTGACAGGAAGAGGTACAGATGTATGAGATGAAGGAATAGTAGCTAATGAACTATTTTAGGATATCAGTTAGCATTCAATAGTCAAAATTCACTTAACGAGAATAAACTAAATCCTATACATTCGATATTGATTTCTACCTGGATTTAGTTATTCATAGAACCTATAAAAATTGTGACTCCATAATTATGGGGATCTTGAACTGAATAAAAGAGGAACAAGGACATATACAAACTGCTAAGGTAGAAGAAAATTGAAGAGATTAGCTGGGTTATAACTAGTATCACAAGAACAAAAACAGAGATATAAGAAAATTAACAAAACATAAAAACAAATTCAGAAAACCTTTGGTCTGAGGCCTCTTATATTAAATCAGCTCAAACTTCCACCACAACCGAGATATAAAGGTGGATGGACTGCACTATCAGTACCTTTTGGCACCTGTTGTTTGTTCCCCTTCAAGACTCTTTTAATATTCATATAAAATAGTGAGTGACCAGAGAGCATAAGGTCACTTCTCCTAAAGATCAGAGGCACACAATGTCCTCAACCTCCTTGCATAAACATGCACCCACTTATCTCCCCCAACTCCAACCACAATTCTACCTGTTTGCCCAACCCCTTAACTTAACCAAGTTCAACTGTCTTTAGGTAACAGGTTACAATCTTGTGAGGATGTCAGATTGGGATTACGTGTTTCATAAATGTTTGGTTGAGTTGACCTATAAAATGAATGCTATTTTCTTCAGAGAAAGATTTAATGCAATTTTCCTTAATGAGTTTAAAACCATTAATGCTTTTTATTTCTTAAATCTATTTTTGCTCCTTATATTTACCTAGAAATGTATTTCCTACATATATGCTCTGAATGTATTAGCATTTCATTACTTTAACTTGTGTTTCTCTGTAGCTATGGCCCATTTTTTATGCCTAATATTGTTTATTTGGGGTTTTCTCTCTAGTTTATAAGGAAAATTGAATTGTCTATTTTGTCTTTTCAATGGACACACTTAATCTTTTTTGATATTCTCTCCATTATATCTTTGTTTTATTCTTCACTAATTTACTACTATTATTTTTTGAAATTATCTCCTTCTTAAGTTTGTGCTTACTTTATGCGGTAGGCAGATTTTGAAAATTGGCTTCCAAGGTTCCATGTCCTAATCTCTAGAACTCGTGAATATGATGAGATAGCTCTCCCATGATAATGTTACACTATATGGCATAGTTGAATATAAGATAAGGAGATTATCTGAATAAGTGTAATGTAATCCTATAAACCCCTTTAAAACCAGAGTTTTCTGCAGCTGGTAGTGGAAGAGATAGACACTGGAAGCATGAGGGAAATTTGATTTGCGATTGTTGAGATTGAAAGTGTGGCTAATTGTGTTTATGCGGCTGAGTTATGAGTTCTGGTCATTAGTGTGAGTGACAGTACTGTAAGGAACTTCTCATTTCCACGTATTCTTATTGGTAAGAGAGAATAATATTTAAGTAACATTAGAAAAGATATATCAAGAATGGCAGAGGTTTCCTACCACTTATAAACCATTTTTTTCTAGACTATTGTAGAAGAAAAATAGAAACTCTGTTTTATATAAACCACTGTATTTTAGGGTGTCTTAATCACAGTACTTTGGCCTGTACCCTAATCATTACAACATAGTTAGAAATTGCCCACTTAGTCGTCTGCATTTTAACTCTCTCAGTTTTCTGCTTTCTCTCTCTAATTTTCTGTTTTCTCACCTCTCTGTGCAGCATTCCATTGTCATTTTATATTGTCAGATCTGTCATCCAGTTGGCTAATTCCCTCTTCAGCTACATCTCATTGAATGTTTAATCTGTCTATTGAATTAATCATTTCAATCACTGTGTCTTGCCATTGTAACTAGTTCTTTTGCAAATATATCCCTGTTGATTTTAATAGTATCTGTCGTTATACTTTAATAGTCTTTTATTTATTTAAAAATATAAAATATACTGATCATCTCTGATCTCATAATTAATCTCTGTAATTTGTTATTTCTGTTTTCTCTTGCTCATGATTGTTAATTTTATGATTTAATAACTTTGTATTGTGAATACGTTTCTTGGTGCTCCAGCTGTGAATATTTGTTGACATGAGATCTATGTTTAAAATATGTTATTCCAGAGAGGATAATCATTTGCCTTTGACTAATGCCTGAAGTACTAGCAATTTAGAACCAGTTTAAATTACATTTTTGGTGGGAAGGGGGTTGGGAGGCACAGAAAGTATGAATTATAAGCCTCAGAACTCGAGAGAAGTCTTGTGAGTTGGAATTCTCATTAGATTTTTTTACAATAATTATTATTTAGACACAGTACCAACAGGGGTAGCAGTCCACACATTTCCCACTGTAGGGTGCACTTATGCTTTCTTTCAGTCTTCTGAGAAAGCTGGCCCTCAGTCCACCTAGATCCATGTAGTTGCTCCAACTTTCCATGTGTTAGATCATCAAGAATAAGTAGAACTTCCTCAAGCAAAATCGATTCTTGCTTTCTCCTGATTTGGGCTTTCTTATATTTCATAAGCTATAAAACACCTTTTTAACTTTTCTTTTAGCTCAACAATGCATTGAGAAATATACATTCAGGTGTGTCTTACTAGAAGAGTCTTTCTTCTACAACTATTAACTTTCTTTTCTTTCTTTTTTTTTTGAGACTGAGTCTTGCTCTATCACCCACGCTGGAGTGCAGTGGCACAATCTCAGCTTACTGCAGCCTCCGCCTCACCTCCTGGGTTCAAGTGATTCTCCTGCCTCAGCCTCCCAAGTAGCTGGGATTACAAGAGTACACCACCACACCCAGCTAATTTTTGTATTTTTAGTAGAGACGGGGTTTCACCATGTTGGCCAGATTGGTCTTGAACTCCTGACCTAGTGATCTGCCTGCCTCGGCCTTCCAAAGTGCTGGGATTACAGCCATGAGCCACCACACCCAGCCTACAACTATTAACTTTCATACTTTCAGATAAGCTTTAATTTCCTTCAGAGCATACATAGTTGTGTTAAATTCTCTTCTCTTTCTTAAAAATTATTTCCTATCTCTCTTCTTTAGAATGTAACTTCCTGAGACAAGAAACGTGGTAATCTCATTTACTGCTGTATTCCAGTGCCTACGGCAATGCCTGGCACATAGAAAATGCTCAATAAAATTTCCCTAAATAAATACATTACAAGATATATATACACACACATACATACATGTATTATACACATGTGCTGTAGCCATACATACACATGTGTGTGTATAATACCTATATAATTTGGATTTGAACAATTTTTTGTTTATTAAACTGCTGGTCTAACTGGTCATAGAATACTTCAGTTTTGTTGTGTGATAAGTAAAATATTAAGATTAAAGATGCATCATACAAAGTTAAGACACATTGCATTGACTGTTTGGTGAAAAGGTAAATGGGAATCCTTTGGACAAAATTGTTTATTAACATGACAGAAACATCAGATAAATACCTACTTTTGAAATGCTGAGTTATTGTAATATGCATATATAGTCACTAAATGTTAACTGTAATTTCATGTTGTCATTCCAGTTTGCATCCTTAATGCGCGTCATTTCTCTGGTGGGTTTGAATGGTGCTGTTTTACAGACTGTCACTTGCAAGTTTGAGGCAGCTGAAGCTACTGTAGAATGACTGACATGAGCATTGAGCAGACCCTCATAGCCTCTGCCAGCAAGTCTTTATTCTGAGTAAAGGGAGCAGATTAGATAATTGGATGGTTGAGCAAGAATTCATGTTTGTGTACTTGACGGACGTGAAAACATGTGTTCAAGAATGCAAATTTGAGGATGAAACTTGTTTGCTACAAGACAAACACTGAGATTGGGGTTTGGAGACTTGAGTTTTAGAAGTACCTATTAACTAAATAGTTATAGGTACTTCTGGACACTTCTGGACCTCGGTCAATTTATCTGTAAAATAAATGGCTGTTGTAGTAAATTTCCCTTCCAATTCTACAATTCTATTATCAAATATTTCTCACATTTATAGGACTCTCTGAAAATTAAACAAAAATCTTACAATAAATTATTCCTCTTCTGAGAAATTCAGTATAAGTTGGGCCGTTGCTGGACTTTCCAACATCTGAATTATAAGTACTACATGATGCCTGTCTCCAAGTGTTTCCCTAAAGTAGTTGATAATATAACGAAAACTAGAGCTCTACACAGAAAAAAAAACAAAGCTTTATTCTATTACCTGGAGGGAAGAAAAGCTAGGGAGCCCTCTAGGGCACTTAGGGTTATAGCACTGTCTCTAATCTAGCCTGAGGTTCTTGGACTATGGATGATGCTTCCTAGTTGGAGCTCAGCGCTACTCACCTTCTGCTTTCTAAATCTCTTTGTCTCTTGTTTTTCACTATCACTTACCTCTCTGGTTTGATTCTATTCCTTCTCTTCTTTCTTCCTCTTAACAATTATGTCCAGTCTGTACCACCTACTGAATGATAGAGAATGACAGCATTACCTTCTTAACATATGACAATCATAGCCCTTCAAATAGTGAAGCAATAGATCAGCTCTGACCTCTGTTTGCTTTTTACAAGCAGAGTACAGATAACTAATATCAGAAATGAAAGAGAGGCCATCAATACTGATACCATAAACACTGAAGAAGATAGTAAGAAATACTATGAACAACCCTACGCCCACACATTTGATTATTAGCTTAAATGAAATTGACTAATTCTTTGAAAGACATCAGCTGCCAAAACTCACACAGGCTGTGTCCCCTTAACAATACCGGGAGAGGCAAACACTACATTATCAGCCTCTGCCCACTAGCTGATGGGAACAAGAGTTTGAGGTAGTACAATGCCAAGGAACCCAGGGACACTCTCTTCACAGCTTTTCATTTGTCATCTATCATGTTGGCTCAGGCTGCTTTCATGCTTAGAAATTGAGATTCTCTGTGACTGCAGCTTTGCAAACATCGGCATTATGTAGCCAATACTTGATCTTCTTCTCATGATCTTTGTCTCATGAGATTGGACTGTGCTATCTGTACTCTTACCTGTTGATGAAGGCCATGTCATAATCAGATTGATGGGCCAAGCCCAAAACGCCATCTGTAGTAGCCTCATTCATTAAATAATAAATACTACCACTTCACTAAACAATGTGTTTCTTGGATTCCTCTTTGGGTATCATAATGTCCAACCAGATCAATTTTTGTCTACCTCCTTGTCCTCCTTTCTGAGTTTCCTTTCTATTGGCCCATCATGACAATTTCTAGATATTGCCTATATAATGGCATGATGTCTCATATTTTAATCTACAGGCAGAGTAAGAAGCAAAAAGCAGTTTAATGCCTCAGCCATTGGAGGTACGTCATAGCAGTCAAGAAGGTAGCAACACTGGAATCAGACCTGGCTTAGATACCTGGTGCTGCCCTATACCCTCTACATAAACTTAAGCCATCACTCATTCTTTTTATTTGGTCAAGTCTAACCTGAGTATACAAATATCAAATTCATATGGATTCTGTAAAAAAATTATATATAATTTTATATATATATATATATATATATATGGAATATATCACAGAAACTGCCTAAATGCTCAATAAATAGAAATTAAAATAAAGCCTGACCTAACATTTGCTTCACAAATAACTACATCATCTGTCCACTAGCAGCATTTTATTTGAATCAATTCTGTTCCTCCCAATATCTTTTTCCTCCTTTCTTCTATATATAGAACTTAAAAGCTCTCAGGAACCATGTGTTGCCCTTTTGTTGAGGAAGGGGTCACAGCTTGTTCAATGTCCCATTTTGTGTTGAGGGCAATTATAATTAGAGCCCTGGTCTATACCCCAGGCTAAAGCATCTGGGAGCCTGGTGAGGATGGAGTGGGGCCACTGAGGGCTTGAGCCCTCTTTTCCATGCACACTAGAAGGCAGGAGTAGATCCCCCCCATTCCTGTTCTTTGCTGGCCCTGATGCAAGAGAAAAGTAGGAAGTAGCAGAGAACCAGAGAGGCAAGCACCTTGGTTATGTAATATCCACCAAATACCGTTCTAACATATATTAGCCAATTATATGTTTCTCAAACAGCCTGGGAAGCTTCTCAAAATATTTTTATCAACATAATCAAGTACTGTAAGAAAAACAGGTAAGCTAGAACCAACATACCTCTGACTGTAAAGTGCCGAAAATTCTAGGGTTTAGTTCAAGGCTAACCTTAACTAGGAAGCTATTTTGAATTTTACTATGAAATAATGCAAAGAGAAAGGAAGAGACCTTCGGTTAAACAGCTGCAATTAATAGGATGGTGAAGTCTATGGAGAGCTGGCCTGGTGGAACTGGCTTTCATGGCTAGACACGGACAAATTGCCCAAGGTGGAATGAGTATTCTGTGGCAAACTGCCCTAGGAAGCCTAGCCTCTTTGTCTCTATCTGTGTCTGGCATCCACGCTGAGTTTATCTTAATTAGAGCTAAAATGTAAAACTGTCTCCTTGATAGATTTCCTCCATGGTCCTCTTCAGAGTAGGTGGAACCAGATATTGTTTTCAGAGGATTGAGGTCATCATCACCATCATCTTGACCAAATGTGTATCCTGACCTTAATGTAGAGACCCACCTAATATCTTCCTGACAGACTAACATGGGGGGAAGTCACATATTGGAATCTGTTAGTTTCCATATGCATGCTGAATATTATCTTAGGCCTGAGAGCCAATTTTGTCTTGTTGAAAGATCTAATGAGTTTCCTCTCTAGGAGATGGGCAGTCTAGCAGTAAGTCAGCCTGGGAGTAATTTTGGCTCTGGCTTGAAACCCAGTCCCAGGAGAGAAGTTTTTACTGTTACTTATGGGCCAAGGTCTCCTCATCTCTTTCAGTTCCACTTTCACTAATATGGGTCCATCTGTCCCAGTTCTCCACCTGGAAATTTCCCACCCCTACCATTCTGACTATAGAAATTGCCTTAGCTCTTACCAGTCCTTCTGGGCAATGGTTCCTGAATGCTGCCCTTAATCTTCAATTCATAAGCCACAACTTTCCAGTAAGCACCTGGACTCTCCATGTTCTTCCCACCTGGACTCTCCACCTAACCCTAGATCCCACTCCCATGACACAGTGGGCCATCTACTTGGCCAGCCGCCACCTCCAGTAGGCTGCTCAGCCTGCAGCCTGCCACCTGCTTGGACTGCTGTCTCCAGCTCTCAGCGATCCTCCTTTCACCTTTCACTTATTTTCCCCCTTCTTATCACTTTCTTTCTTTGTTCTTCTCCTGATCTCTCTTTCACCTGTCCAAAGGCCCTCCGTCCCACTTGTCTATGGCTCACAAGTCTCTGCAGTCCAACTGGACTCTTCAAGTCAAATAATTCCTGCCTCCACAAAAGTTGAATTATAGATCTTGCTGGGCTATAGTAATAGCAGTAGGGCTAAGTAGGAAGGAGCAATTAGGTACACAAATGAACTAAACTTGGCTCTTAGACTGAGTCTTAGTATTTCATTGGATAATGTGGCAATGAAGAAATTAGTTACAATGAAAGGCAAATTATACCAAAAGACATTAGAGGTGAAAAATTAAAATAAAAAGTCCATGTTTCTAGCTTCCAACTCCTCTGCTCATTTCATTTCTTATTTGTACACAGTATGCTCTGAACCCCTTTATTCTGCAGAATGATTATAGAGCTTCCTACAGCATCATTGTCCACCTTAGCCCTATCTGTGGCACTATACAGACAGGACTTCCTCACGATGAGAAAATAACACCTTTTACTCTGTGGCATACATTTCCCTCCCTTTCATTCAGTATTTGGGATCTACATGCTGAGTTCAAGCCCATATACTACATTTTCCTCTTTTTTTTTTTTCTTAAATGCTCAGCTCATCTCATGAGTGAAAAAAGAATTTTCTCTTCTGCCTCCCACATCATAATGCAGCACAAAAAGTACTCCCATCCTCCATCTGATGTCTATCTTGTTCAAGAATCTGCACCCATCTACTCCATAGAGAGACATAAAAATTTCACTTAGGAATGAGTCATGAATTGTTCTTTAAACGTTGGATCAAAGGAGCTTGTAAAGCCCAGGTTATTAGTGCATGTGTACAGTGTGTGTGTAAGGGAACAAGTGGATGGTTCAGATGCAAAAGTCTAGGAATGGGACCTGGACCTCTTGTTGCCATTACTCCTGCCTAAGGATGAGAATGAGTAACAATCTATAGGGTGTTATTCTGTATAGAACCATATAATTATGTAAGTTTGAGAGAGGGTGGCATGACATAAACAAAAAGTGACAAATATTAAAGACATCAAAGTCATCTCTTAACCTTAGAGTTATTATCAGTCACTTACCCCTCTTATTATTCATTTGAGCACTAGTTGCTCAAATATAACCCATGGATTGAACTGTTCATGAACGCACTATTAGAATAGATCATAGGGTCCTTTGTATTTCTACAATTTCTTGTACAAATTTCTATCCCCTCTGTAACATAACCATCTGCTTATGTTTTAGTGTTTCTTATTAGGTTGTGAATAATTTGAGGGCAGGGCATGTGCCTCAATTACCTATGCAAAACAGCTAGAACAGTGCCTGATACCAGATAGATGCTCAATAAACAATCATTGAATGACTGAATGGAAGGATGAAAAATGTGGCATTCGTTGAACTCATTCTTCATGATTGGAAGATTACATTTTGTCCAGAATGTTTTATTGATCCTGGAAGTTCTCTGTTTTTCAAGGAAAGTGTCAGCAGCAAAGGAAACCATAATTACTGAGGTTGCTAAAAACCTTGGTTCCTCCAAAGAATGCTTTATCAACCACCATTACGTTTTCCTGGTAGGTGAGCAAGTTTAAGAGGTTTCCTGGTTCCAATAGGAAAATTGACTTGAAAACTGAGAGGAAGATGGCTCCACTAATTGCTTTGTCATCCCTGCTAGTTGGTGACTTTGAATGAAATAGCATTTTAATTTCTTGAACACCTACTCCCTTTAGACACTTGCTAAGCACTTTATATATAAGAACCAATTTCATTTTCTCCTAAGCACTGCCAAATAAGTATAATTATGCCTGTTTTGTAAGATGATGGAATTGAGGTACAGAGAGATTTGAATAAGTTGCTCAGGATCATGTAGCTAGTAAGTGATGGACCCCGATTTTTTATTTTCATCTTGTTAGAGACAAGTTCTCACTCTGTTATCCAGGCTGGAGTAAAGTGGTGTGATTGTGGTTCAGTGTAGCCTCAAGCTCCTGAACTCAAGCAATCCTTCTGCCTCAGGCTTCTGAGTGTATGGGACTACAGTCATGGACCACCACACCAGGATCATTGTTTTCTATTTTTTTGTAGAGATGGGGGTCTCACTAAGTTTCCCAGGCAGGTCTCGAACTCCTAAACTCGAGTGATGCTCCCACCTCATCCTCCCAAAGTGGTAGGATTACAGATGTGTGCCACTGCACCAGGCCTCAGATTTTTTTTTTTAATGGCCCACAGTTACCAAACCCTTTTCTCGGGGATTAGATAAAAAGTTTTGAATGACTGTCAGTGTAAACACATTGCCTGCTAATGATCTATGATCTTATTTTAAATGGAAAATATTTTCTTTTGACCTAAATAATTAAATGCAAAGTATTTGCTGTGATAAAAGTCTTGGAATCCACAATAAAAATATTTGTACCTACCAGTCATGACTGAGCATGGGATGACTAATGGGTTACAATCAGAGTTGGGAAGGTGGGTCATTATGATGTCATCTGGCATGTGATAATATAGATCAGGCCTGCACTCTCATGATTTGGAGATAGCCTCGTAGAAATGACAACCACAATGTTAATACTAACATATGTATTACATGGTTTGTTTGTTCTTTCGCTTAATATTTTCAGAGCACCTACCTATTATAGGCACTGTGTAAGTTGCTAAGGATACAGACATTAATGTTTTATTCATTCAATCTCCTCAGTGTTTCTTTAATAATTTCTTTGCATCCTACACCCACTGTTTCTAACATGGCCTGGGTCCTTAGTTATTCTTTCCCAGAAACAATTCTCCTGAACTGCCTCTCAACCTCCTCACTCGTCTCTCAACCTCTAGTCTGTGTCCTTTCCAATTTAATTTCTGACTAATGTCAAGAGTTATTGGAGGCTCTTTGGTTAATATTCTTAACCCGTAACATGGTGCACAGGTTTCTCTTAATGACACCTGTATCTCCAAGACCCTCCTGAAACCTTTGTTAGCTAGTTTGGTCGACTCTCTCTTTGCTCATATACCCATTCCTCTCTGATACTATGTGAAGCTGGATTTAAACTGTTAGTTAATTGTCAGTTTCCTAACTACCCTATGATCTTTTCAAGAAAAGGGATTTGAATACATACATTTTGTCTCCACAGCACTTCTCACAAAACTGGGACAACTAACTGTTTATCCAACATCTGCTGGCTAAATAAAGACATGATCTTCACCTTTTGGGATTGTTAATTTAAAATGGTTCCATAAGAGCAATGCAAAGACAGAGATATTTGGCAGCACTGCAGCTGGTGATTTATATGGCTCTTCACAAGGTGTTATTTTGGGGTGAGTGATCATTTTAATGATCTTGTTTCAAATGGTCACACCCTACGTTCATCAGGACATTCTAGCCTTTTGCACAAAGACTTAGATGTACAAACATGCAGGATTCATAGCAATTAACTCCTACCCTCATTCTTTTATCTGTTCTCTTTCCTGCCTTTGTTGCTGTCCCTTACCCCTCCCTTCTTTCTCTTTGTCATCCTTTTTTCTTGTCCTGGATAGGATTACTTGACTATTTGATTATTACAATAGAGTTTTCTAAAGATTCACCATCAGAATGATTTAACTGACATTTAAACATATTATTAAGGAAGTAGGATGTTGCTTGAAGGTCATAGTTTGGATTTGAAGTTTAAAGGTTTTCATAATGTTTAGTAAAGGTATCATAAATGCCATCTCTCCAAAACTAGTATTCCCATAGTCAATGACAATTGGATTTATTCAGGACTTAAATTTATTTAGCTTTGCCATGTAATATTTGTCAAAAAAGATTGCAGTTTCCAGGAAGTTCTTGTTTTGCACACTTGCTTCTTTGGCTAGCCTTGGCAGACACCTGAGACCTGTGAGGATAGTCTGTGTGAGGTGCTGCATGTCCTCATGTTCCTTCTCAGATAGAGTGGAGGCACCCACCAGACCATAGTTTCCCATTTTCTCAAAGGCAAACATCTACATCACAGGTGTGATCTGGGGTTTAAAGTGGGAGAAGTTTGGTGGGGCAAAGTTCATTTATCAGTCTAAACCCAACTAAATAGTAGACTAAACTCTCTCCATGGAACGGCCATTTGAATGAATTATCTATCATAAGTGAGTTCATGAACTAAAACTTCTCACTAAATTAGGTTTGCTCTATACACAACATATTCCAAAGGCTACTGTCTGTATTATGTCCTACAGGTATCAAGGTATGGATGCTTAAATCAGCTGCAGGAAGTAAGAAAGAAGAAAAAAGGAGTGATAAAGATAAAAAAAAATCAACCTTGGTCCTTCCACCAAGACCCATTAATTTCCATATCATCATCTGCATAAGAGGGAAGATTCCTACATGACCAGGTTACTGCAAGGATGTGAATTTTGAATATTAAAATATTATACACAATTGGAAATAACTGAAATCTACCAATGTTTTTACAATCCAGCATATTTACAAAAACAAATCCATCAAGACATCCAATAAATTAGTCTTGATGAGATTTGTAATGAGGCATTAAAGATAAGCTAAGTAAACTGTTAGAAACTTAGAAAAATATATTGTAGCGTAACATATCTAATCTTAGCTCATATTTTATGCAAATAATTAGACAATAAATATTTAAAATAAACAAGAAATTTAAATCTTAAAAGAAACTAGACAAAGCAAATTTAATATTTTTGATTACCTAGCAAAGTTCAAAGCCATTATACTCTGAGTAGAAATTACAGTAGCTGGAAAGAAAATACTTTTTTTCCTTGTTACTCAAATCTATTGATTCTGTTTCAATCACCAGTGAAAATTAAAGATTTTAGTATAAATGAAGTCATATTTAGCTTTTTAAAATTCCAGGGCAGTGTGGAGTTTGATATACTCTCTGCTTTCTGGAGAAAACTGCTCATTACAGGAGCTAATAGAAGAAAAAATAATTATTCCTATTGTTCCAGTTGTGCACCCACAGATATCATTTCACATAACAGTCACAACTGTTGATAAGATTCCTAAATAGATCACGGAGGATCACTTGTGAGCAAATATTCTCATCTCTTTACAAAGGCCAAAGATATTTTCTTTTTGTAACTGGATGGACTTGCATAAGGTAATGAGCTTCATCTAGTGATAGCAAATGGCTGCAATTACAATTTGTGTTAGGGCAGTGTCTGCCCCAAATGTCATGGATCTATATTGGACACACTGACACTAGATGAGTAAGACTACTCTGAGATGGAATGAGAGCACTCTGTATGTTGCTGGAAGAGAACAAAGAGACAGCATAGGGGGTATGACTACAATCCCTCTCCCAGCAAGTCACTACTTTCAGGAAAGTCTCTGCCCCTGATGCCTTACCTTCCAAACCCCACTGCATACACGGACATCCCTTTCCTTTGCCCACACAAAGGGTGACATTAGCTTCATACTATGTCTCTAGCACAAAGACAATACCACCAATGACAACAGAGACCTACAATCTTGCTACAACACAACCCCTGTTCTCTACAGATAAAACTTGGGGTTGTGAGAACTTTAAAACGTGTGTGTCCTGTGTGCGTGTTTGAGAATGGCTCAAGCATCTCCTTTCTGTGCATGCCTTTCTGACCCCATGGGCAGCTTTAAACCTCCATCATTCACATTCAAACCCACTGAAAACTTCTAAAGGTTTAGAAGTTATTTTCAGCACCCTGAGGTACAAACCTCTCTAATCAACAAATCTGGACTTACATCTGAGGATAGCAGATAGCCTCAAGAGATTTTACAATGTTTTGCTCCCAAATAAGCTGAAGATATAAGAATATCACAATCTTTTTCAATTTCTGTCTCTCTGTGCTTGTATGTATTTTCAATACAACTTCTTCACTTCCATTGCAGATTATAACGAAAGACAAAATATATGCTGCAGTTGGGGTGGAGAAATTGAAGGAGAGAAACACAGGTGAATCTAGAAATTTGAGAAAATGTCTAAATAGAACACTAATTTTTGGAGGCCTAGGGTTTCTGCTAAATCAGACAAGGTAACATATGCATATGAAAAAGGAAAGTGATCTTAAGAGAAGAACATGAATGGTCTTGTCCTTGGACTAGACATTCAGAGAGGGGCCCTGTGCCAGAGATCTCCAAGCCCACCCCCGGGTCTGGTAATTTGCTAGAAGGATTTGTAGGATTCAACCATCATTATACTCACAGCTAAGACATATTACAGTGAAAGGATACTGTATTAGTCCATTTTCACGCTGTTGATTAAGATATACCCAAGACTGGGTAATTTACAAAAGAAAGAAGTTTATTGGACTTATAGTTCCATGTGGCTGGAGAGGCCTCACAAATCATGGTGGCAGGTGAAAGGCAAAGAGGAGCAAGTCATGTCTTACATGGATGGCAGCAGGCAATGAAAAAGCTTGTGCAGGGAAACTCCCGTTTTTAATACAATCAGATCTCATGAGACTTATTTACTATCACCTATCACAAGAACAGCACAGGAAAGACCCACTCCCATAATTCAATCACCTCCCACCAGGTTCCTCCCATGACACTTGGGAATTGTGGGAGTTACAATTCAAGATGAGATTTGGGTGGGGACACAGCCGAACCGTATCAGATATGAAGCAAGCACAGCAATGGGAAAAGACACTTGTGCTGAAAGCACTAGCTTCAAAACAGTCTATGCCAGTGGAAGTCACACAGGACTTAATTCACCAGCAATGAGCTGTGGCAACACAAAAGAAGTGTTGTCTATCAGGGAAGTACATTACAGACTCAGCGTCCAAGCTTTATACTGCAGGATGTTCACATAGACACCTTCTGCATAACACATTTAAAAATGCCAAGTGCACAGAAACAAAGCAGGTATACAGTATAAAGAAATTGTTTATACGGTTTCTGCACAGTGAGCCACTCTGACCATTCAGAAAATGTTTAATATCAGTGTGAGCAACTATTTACCAGTCAAGTTACCAGACACCAGTCAGTCAAAGATGGACCTTGTAAGAAGGCCTTTCTAAGGAGAGGCAGTCTCAGGCCAGCTGCATTCACTCTTCTCTGCTCAGCACCCTAGCTCCCGAGCTGCTTTTTTCCCATACTGTGTGCAGAGCTTTAAGAAGACCTCATCTCTACATAGTTTACTATTCACATTTCAAAAATATTCACATTTACTATTCAGATATATTCACATTTGGAAAATACATTTCCCATTCTTTATTCAATTGCTTTAAGGAAAGCAGGATTAGGGAATCATGAAAGAGTTGGTGTTCATAACAGAAGCTTCTCTTAAGACAATTTTGGCACTTCTGAGATTTCAGGTAAAATTTGAAAGCTTTTGAGACATTTTGTTTTAACTTTGGGAAAATTTACTAAAACTCTCAGTTCAACCTAGAATTCCAGGGGGCCCCAAGGAGTTTTAACAATTTGGATTCAGCTTTCCAGACTTCCTGTTTTCTATGGTTTGAGTTCTTCCCATGATAATCTATGGCAGAGCACAGAAGACTCCATGTAGCCACCTTGACTGGGCACCCTTATTTTTTCCACTCACATTTTGGGCTCCTGGAGTAAGAAGATAATGCAGTTACGGACAAGGCTCTAGTGTCATCAGCACAACTTCCAGTTTCTTCTCCCAAAGAGGAATTGAACAATTTTGGCCATATTCCTCCCTTCTCACCTGGCATGTATCTGTCGAAACGCCATTTTATCTTTTTCTAAACTAACATTATGGTTAAAGACTCTTTTTGAGAACTGGTCCCTGATTTCTGACTGCAAGTTTCCTACTTCCTCTGAACGTCCTGCCTCTCTTCTCTGTGCCTCAAGTAGTACATGTAAGATAAGTCACTCTATGTGATCATCATTTTGGTATATGCATTCAATTCCTACGTAAATGTGAAATTCTGCATGACAGAGCCTCTTCAGATATGCAACAACATGCCCTCTGAGAAAACAACATTATACGTATCACTTAAGTAAGAGAAAGAGAAAAACAAAGTCAAAATAGGCTTGAGCAAGCAGGCACCAGGAAAGGGTGGGCAGAAACTACCCACTCGTCCACGAATTAGAGCTTGGAGTTAGAAAATAGAGGAATGATGTACAGATTAACGTAGCAAGAGAGGTCTTTTCTGGGGGAAGCTGGAAATCCAACCTTGTAAGCAAAAATTGAGATCAATACTAACAAAATTATTTAAGGAGTCAAGACAGGAAAAATTACATTTCAGTATTTCCCAACCGATCTATGAAACATAGTCCTGTTTCGTGTCAGTCAAAGAAAAAAAAAGAAAAATATTCATTTCCAAATAAGTTTGAGAAATATTGCATACTACATTCCATTCTTACTGTAAGAATGGAATGTAGTATGCAATATTGTAAGGAATTATCATTTTAAAAGCATCCAGAAGACCTGTAGTAAAGGTCAAATTTATTTGATTAGAAATGCACCATCTTATTTTTTTAAAACTTCTGTATTTTGTTTTTTATTAGCATAGATTTAGGTTCCATGGAAGATAGTTTGGGAAACAGTGTTATCCATGCATTCTTAAAATCAGTGTTTTATTATCCTTGGTCTCTGTGAAATATCAGTCTATCAGCTGATTTCTGCCCCTACAATTTCATGAGTTTTGCCTCAGACTCATAGTTATTGCCTAATATGTTGCTTTATGAGTTAAATAGGACCTAATATCATCAGTGTACTTGCATAAAAAAGTCAGGCTGTATACTTGACAATCCGAGTATAAAATGGGAAAAACCCAACCCTAAGAAAGAAAAAATAGATGTATTTCATAATAAAGTCTATTCAAGGGCTAGAAAGCCTTATATTGTCAAAACCACTCACAGGTGATTATTAAGTGAGAGAATATTGCGTCTACTTTCTCAGATGCTGCTGGGTCCCAGGTTTTAAAACCACAGTCTGACCCAGGATCCTTTCCCCAGCTTTGCGATTCATTTGCTGTGAAACCAAGTGTAAGTTACTTGATTTTACTATCTTTGGTTTTCTGATCTATAAATGAGGGTAGCAGTGCACACCCATCACAGGCATGGAGAGGAAATTAACATAAATGACTTCGACCTCTTTGCAAATATGAAATCCTGGTGATCTGTGCTAAAAAGACTAACTCTGTCTTCATGCTCCATTTCCCTTTCTCACTCCCCCAGGGAGACTTATGCTTGTCTCAGGGCAGTGGAAAAAAAAAAGTCAACATACAGAAAGGTCAGTGTGTGTGGCCAACCAAACGTGATATCCAGCTAGAAGTCCAGCTTATTCTAACTGAGCATTAAGTAGAAACAAGGTCTCTCAGATGGCTGTTCCCTTGTCTCATCTCTCAAATAGCTATCCACTTTTCTACAGATTTCAATTAGGTTTCAAAGTTTGTCTGCAGTGATGATAATTTCTGTCATCTCAACACCTTTGTGACATGAGTAGAACGAGCATTAGAGTTGAACAGGTTATTATTTGTTTTTCAGATAATAAAAAGTGAACCCAAAGGAATTAAAGGAATTGATCAGTAACACAGAGTACTAGCCTTAGACTTAGCTTCTGAAAAAGAGACACTATGTAATGTACCTCACCCTAAGTTGTCTTACAGTGGCCTCATTCAGGATCAGAGCTTAACCATCACGACACATGGGTGAGGGGAAGATAAATCACTGTTCCTCCAGCATCCAAAAATATATCCAATCCCCCATTCTTCATGGCCATGTGGAAGAAAGGTAGGTCTCACAACCCTAAGCTGTCAAACTCAGAACCAAATGGAAGTCTTTTGAAAGCTTTAGTAGAATCACAGAATCTCATATTTGAATAGGAGCTCAAAGGTTATCTGTGCAGCTTTCAGGCCAATGAATTCTGTATGGTACCTTGTTGCTTACTCAGTCTTTGTTCAGCTCTGTCAACATTTTCTCCATCTCACCATCAACTACCAGAGTTGTCTCACAGCTGTGCATGCCTAACCATCTCTATAGGCAGAGTGGTTTATAAAAGTATGAGTTATTTCACTCAGGATAATGAACCCCAACTCCAACCATGTTGCTGTGAAGGACATGATTTCATTATTTTTTTATGGCTTCATAGTATTCCATGGTGAATATAAATGTCACATTTTCTTTAGTCAATTAATTATTGATGGACACTTAGGTTGAGTCTATGACTTTGCTCTTATAAATAGTGCTGTGATAAACATACAAAGACAGGTGTCTTTTTGATAAATTTTTTAATTTTCCTTTGGGTGGGTAGCCAATAGTAGGATTGCTAGGTCAAATGATTTTTCTATTTTCAGTTCTTTAAGAAATGGGTACACATGGACATGAAGATGGAAGTAATAAACATTGAGGACTCTAAAAGGAGGGAGAGAGGGCAAGGTGTGAGGGTGGAAAAACTACCTATGAGGTACCATATTCACTGTTTGGGACGTAGATTCGTGAGAAGCCCAAACTTCACCACTATGCAATACACCCATGTAACAGAGGAATAAAGCCTAGAATAATTTTTTTAAGTGTGAGTTTTATTTTTCTGTCTCTGTATTCCCAGGAACCAGTCAAAATCTGTTCCCAAAGATGTGTCAACAAATAATTTGACAGCATCTCTTTTCTCCCAAACTAGAGCAATTCAATAGCCTTTTATTGTTTTTCCTACTTTCACCTAATTGTTTCCCTTAGTATAGCCTTTTTTTAATCCACAAAGCAAACAAAATGATTTTATAAAGTGCAAAGCAGAATATGTCAAAACCTATATATTTCTTAGAATATACTAATATAAAATTTAAGCTCGTTACCATTATCTACAAGTGATAGACTTTCCACCTGATATTACCTTTTTTTCTTGGAGTCTTCCCACCTTCCCCCATCACTTGTGATGATCTAATCAGGGAGGTCGCCTTTTGCAGATAGAACACACTACCCTTAAGCCAACCAATGGGCCTTACATTTATGGTTCCTTCCGCCTGAAATTCTCCTTCCCTGCATTATGACATAGCTGGATCCTTCCACCATTCAGATCTTTGGTTTAACCAATTTATGCCTAGTGTTCCACTATTGGAACACTAAACTTGTGGGAATTATTTATATCCTACTGCTCAAAGTCATCGCCAAGGTCTGATTTTTCACAAACAAAAAATTTCAACCTCCGGCATAAATGTGTTAATGTTCATTTCCCTAGAGGAGTCTTCCCTGACCACTAGCTTACATGACTATCCACAAATGCCTTATCACACTCTGTTATCTTAGCTTGCTTTATTTCAGTGAAGTAAACTTATTTTTGCATTAGTTTACCTGTTTATTGTATATTTTTCACAATCAGAGAAAAACCTGGTAAGAACAGGATCTTGCCTGCTCATTCACCAACCTCTCAATCCAGACCTTAAAAACAACTCTCAGTGTATAGTGAGTAGACGATCATTTACTCTCTTCTGAAATAATGACTAAAGGAATGAATAATCCATTCAATGCTCAAATCCCTCTCAAACATACTTATTGATATCTTAACCAAGTGCTATCCTATTTTTCCATAAGTAGAAGCAGTGATAAAGAATTCAGTAGTTTTCCATTTTTTTTACACAAGCTTTCCCTCATTTAGCATATGTTTTCTTTCCAATGTGTTCTTCATATTGATGAATGTCCCCACCTGTTGTAAAGACACAAAGCAAGTCTACTCCCTTTTTCACATCATGCTTCTTTGATTATTGCCTTTTGAATCTCTTGCACAGGATCTTTTATGCAGGCTAAGAATACAAGGCCGATCCTCCATTTTATATTTTGTACTTTTAAATTTCCCTAACTTTTTCCTTATGAATATATTCATATATATAATATATATACATGTCTCATACATTTTTTATCACATCTATAATTTTACTAGTACACAGTGGATAATATGTGTGTGTATGTTTGTTTGTGTGTGCATGTGTATATTTGATGCCACCTGTTTTAGTCTGTTGTCACACTGCTAACAAAGACATACCTGAGACTGGGTGATTTATAAAGAAAAAGAGCACAGTTCCACATGGCTGGGGAGGCCTCACAATCATGGCAGAAGACGAGAGGCACATCTTACTTGGCAACAGACAAGAGAACTTGTGCAGGGGAACTCCCCTTTATAAAACCATCAGATCTCATGAGACTTATTCACTATCACGAGAATAGCACATGAAGACCTGCCCCCATGATTCAATTACCTCCAACTGGGTCCCTCCCATAACACATGGGAAATGTAGGAACTACAATTCAAGATGAGAGTTGTGTGGGGACACAGCCATGATATGGCTGTGAAAAGTTTATATCACATAAACTTTTGTGGCAGCTACATCATACCAATAATTTACACTGTTTACAAACCAAAAACAAAACCCAAAAAAATCCCCAAACCATTTTTACAGCACTACAGCAAGTCATGTGTGGTGGCCAGGCTCCAATGCAGGCCCAAGGATCCCTTCTGGCTTCAAGCCATCCTGTAGCTTCCTGCTACATTGCACGATGATTGGGTTGGTCTATGTGATGTACAACACAACACAAGTGAAAGTTTATCACTTCTGAGGCTAGGTTATAAGTGATATCTGCTATGCTCCCTCTTGACTCCGTTACTTTGGAAGAAGTCAGCTGCTATGTCATGAGGACATACCATCTTAATGGAAAAGCCCAAACAATGAGAAACAGGGCCTCTCATCACCAAGAGCCATGTGAATGAGTCATCTGAGCAACAAAATATTTAGCCCCCATTAAGCCTTGAATATGACCTTAGAAAGCAGAACCACCAAACTACTCTACTCTGAGAAACTGTGTGAGAATATAAAACTTCATGTTTTAAGCTGCTAGTTTTAGACTAAATTTGTTATACAGTGATGGATAACTAATAAATCAAGCCTCCCCCCATCCCATATTCATATAATTAGATTTTTCAGATCTAAATTTTTATTCTCATACATTCTTAGTAATATCACATCATTACATTTGGTTCTTTTCATTCCACTTAGGATTTCTAAAATAAATAATTAAATAATGAACAAAACTGATGATGATTTACACAATATCATCCGACAATTTGGAAAGTCTGTTAGCTTTCAAGTTAGTATTGCCACTCAAATTACTGATAAAAATGCTAAAATGGAAAAAGTATTCAACAGCATCCTGCTGGCCTTTAGCAATCTCTCTAGTTCATAATTTTCTAAGCTCATTTCAAACATACATTTTACCAGCTAATAATTTATTTTTTTCCTTTGTAGCCACACAATGTCTCTACACTTAATCTACAAAGAAATGAAAATACTTGTGTTATGTCTGTTGCGTTTTCTTGAATTATAAGCCTTAGCATTAAGTTAGAAAGGAAAGAAAAAATACTTCAATTTGGACATGACTGCTGCTTAGCCCATTTTGGCTTCTGGAAGTATTTTTTCTATTCTAGGGGCTCAAAGGCCATTGTCTTCTACAGTTTTAAAATAATGCCATGAGTTGGGCAAGGACTTCATGACTAAAACACCAAAAGCAATGGCAACAAAAGCCAAAATTGACAAATGGGATCTAATTAAACTAAAGAGCTTATGCACAGCAAAAGAAACTACCATCAGAGTGAACAGGCAACCTACAGAATGGGAGAAAATTTTTGCAATCTACCCATCCGACAAAGGGCTAATATCCAGAATCTACAAAGAACTTAAACAAATTTACAAGAAAAAAATCAAACAACCCCATCAAAAAGTGGGCAAAGGATATGAACAGATACTTCTCAAAAGAAGACATTTATGCAGCCAACAGACACATGAAAAAATGCTCATCATTACTGGACATCAGAGAAATGCAAATCAAAACCACAATGAGACACCACCTCATACCAGTTAGAATAGCGATCATTAAAATGTCAGGAAACAACAGGTGCTGGAGAGGATGTGGAGAAATAGGAACACTTTTACACTGTTGGTGGGATTGTAAACTAGTTCAACCATTGTGGAAGACAGTGTGGCGATTCCTCAAGTATCTAGGACTAGAAATACCATTTGATCCAGCCATCCCATTACTGGGCATATACCCAAAGGATTATAAATCATGCTGCTATAAAGACACATGCACACATATGTTTACTGTGGCACTATTCACAATAGCAAAGACTTGGAACGAACCCAGATGTCCATCAATGATAGACTGGATTAAGAAAATGTGGCACATATATGCCATGGAATACTATGCAGCCATAAAAAAGGATGAGTTCATGTTCTTTATAGGGACATGGATGAAGCTGGAAACCATCATCTGAGCAAACTATCACAAGGAGAGAAAACCAAACACCACATGTTCTCACTCATAGGTGGGAACTGAACAATGAGAACGCATGGACACAGGGTGGGGAACATCATACACCAGGGCCTGCTGGGGGGTGGGGGGAGGGGGAGGGATAACATTAGGAGATATACCTAATGTAAATGATGAGTTAACAGGTACAGCACACCAACAGGGCACATGTATACATATCTAACAAACCTGCACGTTGTGAACATGTACCCTAGAACTTATAGTAAAATTAAAAATAAATAAATAAAATAAAATCATGCCATGAGTTGGCATAAAACTCATCTGCTTCTCCTTTTAAATGAATATGAAAATGGCATTTGCCCCTTTTTAGTCCTGGGTCACCTTCTCAATCCTGCACTGTTCACTGATGATTACTGCTTGTGGTCCTCAGGTCTGTACACATTGGAAATCTCTTTATGCATTTTGGAATGGTCACCTTGCTTCCCAAGGTAGCTACATGTCTATGCACATTTATTTAAATATGTTTCATTACATTGAATTAATCTGTATTTCCTTTTAGATCCTACTTACTGGTACACCCATCAACAAAAAACAAACCCAAAATGGAGAAGAGAAGAGGATATATTAACCATTACATATTTTATAAACACTACAAACCCTGGCAAGTAACATTTGTGAAATTAGTGAATGAATGAATTAATAAATGAACATAAGTGTGAAGCATGCTTATTTAGAAAACCCAGTTCTGTTCATTAACACTTACAATTCAAACACGTATGTGAATCTGGTTAATACACTCTTTACCACAAGATGAGGGTGGTTATAACTTATTTATTTTCCTGTACTTTCTTCTGAAATATATTAAATTTTCTGCCAAGATATAAAATCAATAAGCAGAATACTTCTTCAGTTACTTACTGTGCATGAAAAAATAAGGAGACAGAAATAGAACACAATTTTGAAAAATATAAACCAGTTTTAAGATATTTCCAGATTTGATATTTTCCATTATTACCTTTAAATAAACTCCATCGAAAAAGGAGTCCTTTGCCTATCAGCAAAAGAAATTCTGTTATATGCAAGTGATAAGCCAATCTAAGGACATATAAAATAAGTTATTATGCAATAAATATGTCATCCCCAATCAGAGTAGAAGGATAAGAACAATAAAAAGAGCTAGGGTAATAGAAATGGAATTTTAAAACATATGAATCCTGCTATTAGTCTATTTCTCAGAACATACTCCAGATGCAATAAAGTGCTAAATTCTTTATATAAATATATAAAGACACCAGTAAATAAATGAGCAATGGACAAAAAACTGAATTCCTCAAAATAGGAATAGAACACTTTAACAAACACATGGAAAGAAAGACGTTCACCCCCATGAGGAATCAAATAAATAAAAAATAGTATAATAATAATACACACTTTTTAATCTAACAAATTAGAAATTATTTAAATTTAATACACAGAAGCAATGCCTGTTGGCGGAAGATGAAAGAGGCACATTTACATTAACATAAATGGGAGTATAAATTACTTATAAACCCTACTGAGAAGTCATCTGTCAATATCTATTTTAAAAAGGCTTAAATGTATTAATTGCCTTTAACTCACTAATTCCATTTCTAAAAATTTCACTAGGCTGGGCACAGTGGCTCACACCTATAATCCCAACCCTTTGGGAGGCCGAGGCAGGTGGATCACCTGAGGTCAGGAGTTTGAAACCACCCTGGCTAATGTAGTGAAACCCCGTCTCTAGTAAAAATACAAAAATTAGCTGGGCATGGTGGTGCATGCTTGTACTCCCAGCTACTCAGGAGGCTGAGGCAGAAGAATCACTTGAACCTGGGAGACAGACATTGCGGTGAGCCAAGATTACACCATTGCCCTCCAGCCTAGGTGACAAGAGCAAAATTCCGTCTCAAAAAAAAAAAAAGAAAAAATCACTAGAATGATCTCCCCTTTTCTGTGTGGCAATGTCTTAGCAAACATTAGATCATCTCCCACAGCCAGTTCAAGCTTCATTCTCTTCCTGGAGCTTACTGTCCCAACATGGAAAATACCTTCCTCTACCTTGTTAAAGCTGATCTGGCCTTTCAGGAGAGGTCTCTGATTATTTAAAAGAAAAGCCTGCATGTTTGTGGAAAGGAAAAGGAGAGGGAGATAGGATATACAGTAAGGAACTCACATTTCCATCAGGAGTAAATGAGATGCTCTTTGAAATAGTGAAAGGCCCTTTGGTCTTAAGAGCAATATAATCCTGAATTACAGAAGAGCAAGGTTAGAGCTAACATAGCAGAGAATAAAGGAGATGATAAGAAAGGTAAACGTGTCTGAATGAGAAGGCCAAGAAGATGAAATCAGGAATGAAAAAGATCCAGGTTGAAAATGTTGCTTTCAACTGGAGTGATGAGATAACATTTCGGGAAACAACTGTGAACCAACCTTGGAAAGGCAAGCAAGATTGTAATCAGAATATTAAGCTGGTGGGGAGGAAGTGAGTTCCAGGCCATGCTTTTCTAGATACTAAATGAAGGGTCTGATTACAAGCCTCACAAGTTGGAAGGCAAGAGAAAACTCACAGAAACTTCAGAAAAGATTTACATAGGCATGGAAATGACCTGAAGCAAAAACAAAAAGAAGAAGAAGAAAAAGCCACCAATGGGCTTGCACACACATACACACACCAACATACACACGGCTTTTATTTCTATGTTGTTTGCTCATCTTTCTGAACCTCAGGTGCATACAATTGAAATGTTCATATTCATTAGTCAATAATACGCTATAATAGTTGGGAGAAAAGCTGTGTGTTGGAGAAGCAGAGGCAGGGCTTGCATGTCTGACATAATGTAAAAGAGTCTTGGAACATGTCCGGGGTCCAGGATCTAAAATCCCTTGTGACCTTTGAAACACCAAGCTCTGTGCCAAAATATGGAAGGCTATACTGACGCACCATAATCTAAGCCCAGGGCATAAAATCCCTCGTGGCTTGGATAGAATCCAGGGCTCATGGCTCTGGAATAGATTTGCTGGCTCCTTGCTCCTTGCTCTCCCAGGATTGATCGTATCTTGAGTTAAAAGAACCTGGTCCCCATTATCTCAAGTAGCAGAGCATATGCTAAACCATCACAGATGTAAATCATGTACTTAATTCAATGCGCCCTTTCGACCCCCACATTCTCACCATTTGTTTCTTTGTTTGATCACCAATAAATAGTCTGGGCTTCCAGAGCCCTGGGCCTTTGCAGCCTCTATACACTAGCGATGGCCCCCTGGTCCCACTTTACTTCTCAAACTGTCTTTTTCTCAATCCTTTGACTCCGCTGAACTTTGTTGCCCCTATGACATGGTGTTGGGTCTGATCACCCCAACAATAGTTATCAGTCCAAGTAAAGTCACTGCATCTATTGTGTTTTCATGTCCCCTCAGCAAGCTCATTATGCTATATGCCTCTCTCCAAGTATATGGATTATGTCTTCATGCCTGCCTTCCATATGTTTAGATATAGATATTTCCTTGGAAAATATAAATCTGATATTCCTTAACTTGAAAACTCATCTGAGAGAATTCATATAAAATATTAATTTTATGTCAGAGAAGGATAAATGAATATTATCTTGTTCTCTATAAATTTCTGTATATTATTTAAAAAATTAAAACACTAAAATTATATGTAGTAATGTGTGTGGTTTTCAAAATCAATATAAATGGCATTGTGCTGTAATTCTCATGCTGTTTTTCAGCTTTTTTTTCATTAATTTCTATGTTCTTGGGAGCTATCCACACTAGTTTATGTAAATATGATCCTTGGCATTAAAATATATTCTGGGCGATGCATAGTACACATTTTATATACCAATAATCATGTTTTCAGCCCTTTACTTCAAAGTGTCTTGCTATGAATCTAAGATTTTCTGTGAAGTCCTGCTGGGTCCCCAGATGCACATATTCAATTTCAATAAGCCCTACTAGAATGGCTATACCAGTCTATACTCTTACCAGTAGTGCATGGAAGTTGCCACACTATCTTATGCCCTTAATGTTTTGAGGCTTTTGACTTTTACCATCTGGAAGTATGCAAAGGGGTGTTTCAATGTTTTAATTACTTTTCTGTGGTTACTAAAAGGTTGAGCGTTGTCTCATGTTTTTGTTAGTCATTTGGATGTTCCTCTCTTTGAATTTCCTTTCATATTATTTGCTCAATTTTTCAACTGGAGATTTTACCTTTTTTTGGCTTATTTAGTGTTGTCCTTTGCCTTTTCTAGATAATAACATCTTCCCAATTTTATACTTTGCAATTGCCACCACTCAGTTGTCATCCTTGTGTTAATTTTCCTCTGCTACCATTTGTTGATGAGGCTTCTTTAATTTTGATATATATATAATTTGTGTGTGTTTTAGATCTTTTTCATTTTGTTCATACAAAGACCCATTCTTCTACTTTTTTATTAATATTAGCTTTTATGTTTCACATTTAGGAATTTAATTTTATTTGCATAAATTGTCACTAGATTAATTAACTAATAATTTCATCAACTTCAGAAAAAGAAACAGCCTTAAAGAGATCGCTATGCAAAGTCACAGAAGTTAAATGGCATTTGAAACAATAGAAAAGCATGACATTCTTCTGGAATCATTTTTGAAATGGATCCATGCATTTATTTTTACTTTCAAAAATGAGTCATTCTCAACGTGCGAGGTTGGTAGCTTAGCTTAGAGGAGTCTAAGGAAGGGAAAGCTCAAATTCATTAATAAAGTAATAAAAGTAAACTATTAAGTAAAACAATCATTTTTCCAAAGCAGATGAAAATCAAAGATGGATCAAAGGAGAACTGTGGTTCTTTTGTCAAAAACTATAGCAAAGAAAGCAATATTCTAACAACAAAAGAAATTCTGCCATTATGGGTTGATGATTTTTTAAAATTTTTTATATATTTTTTTTAAAGAGTAAAGGCGGACAACACTATGAGGAGAATGTGATCCCCAAATTATGCT
This sequence comes from Homo sapiens, assembly GCF_000001405.40. Classification (NCBI taxonomy): domain Eukaryota; kingdom Metazoa; phylum Chordata; class Mammalia; order Primates; family Hominidae; genus Homo; species Homo sapiens. Next base: position 22,553,081 of record NC_000002.12, read on the forward strand.
GCCATTTAGAGCACATTATATCTGAGTCACCAGCAGCGCTGACCTTGAGTATGTTGGGGTAGGTGGGCAAACGTGTCTCAAAGAGGCAGCTGAGCACATTTCTGATGCTGGGACCCTGGGAAAGTCAGTTCTTTTTCACCTTAGTTTTTATATCTGAGTATAACTTTAAAATTCAGCCTCATACATAGCAAAGGACAACCCAAAGGCTGAGAAAGGAAAGTTTTACCCCAGAGCAGGTGCTCAAGTGCTCCTTCCATGACTGTGTGAGTGGTACGTGGCCTTTCCGAGGCAGAGGAGCTCAGATGGAGCAGCCTCCTCCATGATATCAGCAGGCCTGGAACAAGCTCCTCTTTACCTGATCAACTCAATAGTGGGTGGAATGAAGTTTTGATGTGAGTCCAGTTAATTTTACTTTTTAACCGCAAAGCCTGGCTTACTTAGCTATGGCCTTGGTGTTTGAATATGCTTTTTCTGTGATAGCTGATTGGCTGCTATTGTCAGTATGTCCCGATGAGACTGGTCAGAAGCTGAACCTTGAAATATATGTTCTTCAAATAAACGTGAAAGTATATGTGTGTGATTTACTCAACTAATTTTTAATTAGTTTCGATTAGTTTTAATTGTGGGAATATCTTAATCCCACCATCAAAGATACTGTAATCTACTTGGGACAACAAGATGATTAGTTAAAAACATGGGAATTGAATGACAGGGCTGGAGAATAACAGGCTCATTATTAAGACTAATTAAAATTTTAATTTCTTCCAATTGGTCAAAGAGCAAAATTGTATATGTCTCCGTGAGCTACTTCCGTTGTGTCAGATGCTAAGTTCATGCCAATGTACCTGACAAACTCAACCCTTGTCCACAGTAAGAATAGATACCTGATACAATGATATTAATTAAAAATAAGTTTTAGATAAGTGAACAAACTGCTGAGAAAGAGAAATAAAAGATGTTCTTAGGCACAGCATGTAGACCCTAAGGTAGTCATGTTTGGAAGTGGAAGGTGGCAGAAATCTGTTACTGGGCATTCAAACAGACAGCTGAGAGATAACGCAGAGTTAGTTATGAGAAGAGGAGAAAGAAGAGTATTTCTGGCATCAAAAACAGCAATTGTGAAGCCCCAGAGGTCAAAGAAAATGAAATACTGCCACGACATTTAACAGATGCTGGACTGCCTGTCCCAGTAGAAAAATCTGATTCTTCTACCATTTTTATCCAAGATTACTCCATCATAGGCAGATTTGAATTGACTTTATCCATCCCTCAAGGGTTCAAGTTTTAACATCCAAAACTTTATGTTCAGATCAAATTCATTATTTTTAAACTCTAAAATAGCCTTTCTTACTATTCCTTTTTAAATTCATTTTATAATTTCCCTAACAGATCCCAATTCTCCTATCTTAGCATAACTCCAGATCAACCACCTAGGATTATTCGATGGAGTTATCTGCATGAAGTAATTACTTTTTTTTTCTTGCAACCATTTCATATTCCAAGATAAGTCTTTAGACTTTAAGGCATGTACTATCTGTTCAGTTTGCAAATTTTCTTGGAAGTTAAAAGAGAAGAGTCAGCAATTTACTTCACTGACTGAAAAAGAAACTTTAAAAACCATTCCACCTCTGCATCTTTTGGCACTTAGAAAATCTTGATTAATTCTTTAAGATGTCAAAAATGGTAGTTAACTGTATGTCTTTTGTTGAAGATTAGAAATCTTTGTTCAGGGCATTTGAATAATAGTTTTATGATAATGTTCAATTGTGATGAAGACAAGTCACATTGAATCATTTACTCATGAGTTGAAACCTGGGAAACTGTCCTGCATGTCAAAATAATAGAAAAGTGACTTCTGAAATGATATTGGAGGTAAGGCACTTTATTTCAAATGCCTCTGATAACAAAAATGAAAGATTGGAATATAATAATTTAGGATATATTTTCTTTTCCTCAGTAATTCATGTTTACTACATTAACATTTGAAATTGGACTTGCAGGTGTGTCTTCTTTCACAAAACAGGTGTCTTCCTAAAAAAATACAGAAATTACTGAAAAGGAACTCACATTTTAAATGTGCTGGGGAAAATTCCAATTAAAAGAAATATTATGAAGTCTCCTTGACAAATACAACAATATTTCTTCTATGCAAATGATTCATATTAATTGGCTTGGTTCTTGAATTAATATGTTTATATATTGGGCTTTGTTTAATATGTGCTCAACAGTGTGGAACATAAATCTGATACAAACGTTTTACCTTTTGAAATGTTACTTAGACTTTAGGAAAAATATGTCTTTGCTGAAAAGGAAGAATTGAAAGGAGAGAAGGAAAAGAGAGAATGAAGGAGGAGGACAACGAAAAAAAGAGAGAAAAATGATTTGTAATATTCTGTTTGTATATTGAGCTTTAAAGCAGCCACAGGCTGAGAACACCCTTGTCTGTGATCTCTTGGCATTTTTTGTAAATTTTTTAAAATTTTTTTAAAATTTTTCTTTCAGATGTTGGCATCTTCATGAAGGGGCATGTTTGTTATTAAAAGCCTGATAAATACTTTCAATGGCCATTCTCTGGCTCAAGCCATCTGCACTAGGCCAAGAGGTGGCATATACTGGGTGGGAAAAGAAATGTTTATGAAATTTGAACTAAGTTGAAACTACTTAAAGTTCAAGCCTTAGGATCAAGGACAAAAGAAAAGAAAAGCCAAGATGAAAACAAATGAGCTCCCTTCCATTCAAAGACTCTAAAATCTGTCTTTATGGCCACAGATTGTACAGGTTTCCCTGCCTTTTTTTGCCCCCATTTTCTTGACAAAGACCAGTTTCTCACTGATAACATTGCACTGATCACCTGCAATCATCACTTTTAATAATAAGCCTGTTATTCTCCAGCCCTATCATTCAATTCCCACGTTTTTATGTAAACATCTTGTTGTCCCAAGTAGATTACAGTGCCTTTGACAGTAAGATTCAGATATTCCCATAATTTTCAGAGCCGCAATTATGCATCAAGAACATCATTGTGTTTTAAACAAAGCACTAGTTCATTTAATGCTCACAAACCCTGAAAATGGGTATTATTCTTCTTTCCATTTTCAGAGGAATCAACTAAGGTGTTGAGGATTTAAATAACTTGTCCATGCTTTTACAACTCAGAGGCAAAGCATATTTCAAAGGCTTGTTTCAAAGCTCTTCATCTTTCCACAATGAAAACATGATGGAAAAACAAAAGAGTCAATACTTGAGTAAATGAATGTTTGAAAAAAACAACTAACTACTCAGTAATTATCAAAATAAAGAATTAAAAACCTCTGTGTAATTTCAGGGAATAAAAAATATTTGTTTAGCTGGAAAAAGTGACCTCTCCTCTCATACTCATTCTTCAAATCTTTCCAACCCAAATGGCCCATGGGAAGAATTTAAAAGCTTCTATTTTATGTGTAAACTTGTCTCTTATTCATGTCTTCCTTTCCTCAACCAACAGTTCTACCTGAAGCTGTCCAAATCCCACTCCCTTTGGTATGTATTTTCCTAATGTAGCTCCCCTCTAAACCACACAATCTTGTGTCCACCCTCTATATTAGATGCCTGTACAGTGCTTTCCACTTAGAAGGGTCTCAATGAATAAATGTCAAATAAACAAATAGGCAAAAAGATAACATATTTTTCAGTCTTTCAATAGTGTCATATTTCTTAAGAGTAGCATGCATTCAAAGACATGGCAAGTCTCACAGATATGAAGTCCTGTGTGTTATGTGTTCGTTTTCATTTCCCTCTCCACGCCTAGCTCAGAACTAGGTAAATTTAAGACACCTAAGTGCTGGTCATTTTATATGCAACCTCAAAAGACGTTGGCGAATAGATTCCATATTCCACGAGATGAAGAAATGCCATCACAAGGTCACTAGCACAGCAGTTAGTTATCACAATCTCCTTTCTGACCCCTTTCCCCTCTTTCTTATATTTCTCAAATGTAACCTCATGCCTCTGAACTTCTTGCCATACCAAAGGTTGTTCTTGGGAAAAACCAACAGTAGTGCCATGAGTGGAGTCATTTGAGTCATAGGTTCCAGCCTATGGTATGTATCGAAGCAAAGGTATCTCTTTTCTCTCCTAAAGTAGAGGGTGTTTAGAATCTATTAGCAAATAAAAGAATATTCTGGGCAGTTGAATGCCCCTTTACTGTAGTCGTAAAACAGAATAGCTAACTCTCATACACAAGGTTACCTATCTTAACTGGAATCTTAACTGATGGGCTCCGATATCTACTGTTTCCCAAGCAAGAAATGGTCTCTGATCTGTAATCACATGCACCATTTACACTGTGCATGTCATGGGTCACCAGCTATATTCACCCACAATTCTTCTTGATTGAATTAACTGGAAGAAACAAAATGTCACCTACAGTTGGCCTAAATTAACCAAGAAAATGTGGCTATACCCTGGTGACAGTGTTTTCATTTGTTTTGTTTTGTTTTCCTCAATGAAGCCAAAACCTATTCTGAGCGTCTGACAGCAAGAGTGTACAAGCTTTCAAGACTCAACAGTAAAACCAAGACACAACGTCTGCAAACACTTATCTCTAATGGGCTTTGAAAGGCTTAATTAACTCCTGCAGGAGTAGTTCTTTGTAATGTTCAGTTTGCATGTTTTCTCAAAGGTCAAAGATTATGAAGATGGAAAGGAATGATTACTTACTATACATGCCTCAATTGGATCAGAAGAACACTTTTAATACTTTAAATCTTAGTGATTGTTTTATTATTAAAATCCTGGAATTAACTGATTACCCTTAGAAGGTTCAATTCAAGGAATACATTGTAAGTGGTCATGTTTGTTTTGAATATAGCTGTGGATATACTTGCAGGGCAAGGAGGGGTAGTGAGGGATTTCTTTTCTGCTCTCTCACCTTGTTTCCATAGATCAGAAACAATTAACAACACAAGTAACACCTGAGCAGAGATTTCAGCTCTGGTCTTTCTTACTGCAAAAGTGAATTCACAATGTTTGCCAAAGAACCTGTGTTGTTAGACTATTTTGAATATTTCCATTGACATCACTGAGCTTCCTGGTCAGGCTGAAGAACTATTCTAAAAAGGATTTAAAGTTGTTATTTATTAAGATATTTTTCATGATTCATTCATTTTTATATAATAAAATAAATATTATTAAAGAAAATCAAATATCTACTCCTGCCAATCTCTGAGGGAAAAAACAAAGGGTAGGGAAGATTCAATCTTTTTAAAAGTCCCCCAGTTTCTTACAAAACCAAGACCGGTATACAGAGAAGTGTGATACGTGATCATAGAATACAAAGGGTCATATTGGGGCAAATTAGAAGCATGGGTCAATCAAGTATTGGTGAGAAAGGCACATGCTGCCCACAGTAATAGACATTTTGGCTGAAAACTAAAGGAAAGAAGAAGCTGACCTGGTAGAGAGGGTTGAAATCACTTTAATCAGAATGAAGTTATACAAAATCCTTGAAGTGAGAGAGAGCACGGGGCATTTGTGAACTCAGGAAAAGCCAATCTCAGCCTGCCTAGAGCCTGTGTCAGAAGGAAAAGCAAACAGGGGCCATTCACAAGGGACTTATCTGGAGGCTCCTTGGACTCATTTAAATATTTCAATTTTAAAAGTAACAATTTACAATAAAATTGCACTTTATAAACCTGATACTGGATTTTAGAAAAGAGTAGATAGGAGGGAGAAAGCCCAGGATGTGTAGAAATCGGTTGGGTAAAGTTCTTGAGGAAATAACTGCATGGCCTCATAAAGTATAAGGCAGAGGGAAATGGAGAGGGAGTAGGTTTTAAAGATGCTTAGGATATAGAATTAATTGGGTATTTGGTGGACTAGACAGGAAGTCAAATGGGGAGATCAAAGATCAACCTAGGTTTCTGGCTTACAGATTATTATAGGTGTTAGAGGTACCATTCACCAGGGATGGGCATATAGGAAGAGCAGGTAACTGTGCAGGGACGTTTGTTGTTGTTGTTGTTATGAATGGAAAAAGACTGGTGTATATATTCATTTCTCTTTAATTTTTTAAATATGGAGCTAAAATACAAATTTTGCCAAATTCACTTTTCTAGCCTATTAGTTCCTACACCCCAAAGCCCTAACTCATCACAGAATCTTTTTTAAGGTAGTTCTCTTGTCAGTAGAGCTCCTCAATTAGATCTCGTGGTTTATTACTTATTTTGAAATACAATTAATATGCAGTATATGAAATCTTTAATAGAGGTTACACGATTCGAACCAAGCTTTTCTTTTTAACGGGGTTAAAATATTTTCAATAATCCCAAAATACTGTCTGTTTAAATAAGAAACTACATATCCACCTTAGTCTAAATTTGCAACAGCTCTTTGATGAAGACAGAGAGAGTTCTGATATTTGTGATTATAGTGGAGAGAGCACAACATCTAACAGGCTTGTGACATGGCCAGGGTGATCCACAAGCAGAGACATTGTCTCTGAATCTCAGTCTCTCCAGTCCTACTCTGGGGCTCATTACTCTTCCATACAATCTGCAAAGGGCATGCCCAGATGTTGAGTTCAGCAAAGATGCATCTCATTGACCATTAGAATCCAGCACTATCACTACCATCATTATTATTTTGCCTTGAAAAGTTTGCTGCTCTGACCAGTCTTCTGACGGGTGGAATTCTCCTTATACTTTAAAGCAAAATACATTAAAAATGCATTTAAAATGCCATCGATGGTGTTTGTAAAAGTGTTTTCCCTCAAATGAACTTTAAAGCCTGGTTCACCAACAAACTGCCCACCACTGGGAATGCATTCTAATAAAAGCACATGCATTATGGTTGTAAGAATACTTGAAACAGCATTTGCATCTGCTACAAGACTTACAATGTAATGGATTTCTAACTAATTAGCATGATTTCCCAGACTGAATTATCCCACATGTAGGAGTAGCTGGATATAAAAATAAATTTGATTATAATATGCATAAATTGCTCATTTCTTACAGAATTATGGCTTTTTCTTAAGTGAATGCCCAACTTCCCCAAATGGTCAATGAAAATGTGTTTCCAAATGGCTGCTCTTTTTGGGTTTGTGCTGCTTTCCGGGAGTTTGGCTACTCGTGGCAGCTGCTTTGTTGAAACATGACATGCACAGCACATCAGGCAATGAGTGTGACCTACATTCAGGATGTTTATGCGTTCTGCAGAAATTGGGTAATTTCACTCACCGTTTTGTTCTTCTGCTGATGTGAGGGGTCTTGAGCATCATTTTGGGCAATAAATCCCCGGATGCTAAAAAAAAAAAAAAAAAATCACAGTACTTACAGAAGAATAAGATTAAAAGGTACAAATCCACTATAGTGTATTTCTCCCAGTTCTATGCCAGGTTTTGTTAGAATGGTATAAAATCAATGACAAACACACTCCTCTACTCCTTGGAGCTGCCACAATGACTCATACACAAGAAAATTATAGAACAAAACAAGACAGAATAGAACCAAATGCCAAATGACCGACAACCAGTAGTATATTCTGTAATTCAGAAAAATTATTTGCTATAATTGCAAATGTATAGCACTTAATCTGGGAAAGAAACAAAGTAAGATTTGGATGGCTAGAATGTAGAAGAGACATTCCACATCTATAACCTAGTATGAAGGTAAGAAAAGCATCATTCTTTCATGTACAAATTCATCCATTCATTACAAGCTGCTATTACATGAGAACTATAATAATTCTGTTTGTGTGATGTGTCATTTTGTTTAATATCCCATATGCAGTTTGTTAATAGGTGTTATACACACAAAGTGTTTCTTTGTCAAATACGTTTGGGAAGCAATGGGTAAACAAAATTAAACATGAGTATTTCAAAACTTCTCAGTATTCAGTGTTCTCCATTTTCTTTAAATGAGAAAAAACTTTGTTTTAAATTTCAAACTTAATAGATATTCAAAAAATTTAAAAAATCATACACTGCTGGACATGGTGGCTTAATCCTGTAATCCCAGTATTTTGAGAGGCCAAAGCAGGAGGATCACTTGAGTCTAGGAATTTGAGACCAGCCTAGGCAACAGTGAGATCTCGCCTCTACAAAAAATAGAAAAATTAGCCAGGCATTGTAGTGCATTCCTGTAGTCCCAGCTACATGGGAAGCTGAGGTGGGAGGATCACTTGAGTCTGGAAGGTTGAGGCTGCAGTGAGCCATGATCATGCCATCCCACTCCAGCCTGTGCAACAAAGGGAGACCCTATTTCAAAAAAAACCTAAAAAACAAAAGAGCACAGCTTTCACTTAAGCAAAATAACCTATATATGAGAAGAGGGTAGAAAAAGTTTATGCTGTTAATGAAAATTTGATGTCCCCCTCCCATTAATTCCAAATTACAATAATGTAACACCAACACTTAGTGACACCTACTTACCTACTCTGCACCAGGCACTGTGGTACGGTACACGCTGAACTTGCATTTTGTACAGCTATCACCACAACTTTCTTTTTTTTTTTTTTTTTTAAGACTCGGAGTCTCACTCTGTCACCCAGGCTGGAGTGCAGCGGCACGATCTTGGCTCACTGCAACCTCCGCCTCCCTGGTTCAAGCAATTCTCCTGCCTCAGCCTCCTGAGTAGCTGGGACTACAGGCACACGCTGCCAGGCCCGGCTAATTTATTTTGTATTTTAGTAGAGACAGGGTTTCACCATGTTCCCCAGGCTGGTCTTGAACTCCTGAGCTCAGGCAATCCACCAGCCTCAGCCTCCCAAAGTGCTAGGATTACAGGCGTGAGCCACCACGCCTGGCATCTCCACAACTTTCTAGATTACCTATTGCTATTCCTATTCACGGATGAGAAAACTAAGTCTCAGAGATATTAAGAATTTTGCAAAGGGTTGCACAGTTTGACAATTTGGTAAATCATGTTTCCTATCATTCTTTCATTGTTTTGTGTATAAATCACAGGATGAATATTCTAAGAGTAAGGATGAACATGGTCAAGAAGTTTAATACAAGTGGTAGTTGAACACCTGTCGATAGACAAGTTCAATTAATGTTTATAGATAAAGAAGGTAAGGCATTGCTTTTGTCCCAACAGGAGACATGTGCAAGGACTAAGGAAGGTTGTTTCTCATTCACCTTTTCTCAGGGGGTTATGTAAGGACATGATTCAGAAAATGAAGAATTGCTCAAAAAAGAGAAAAACTCTGGATCCAAGAATAAGTAGACCCAGCAAGGTCAAACAATGAAAAGCGTTCTTGTATTTACTTGTATATTACTATTCCGATTCTAAATCTAACTTTGGAATTCTAGCCCCAGCTTTGAAGTTGGTCGAGAATAGATTGTGATCTTGTCTCTTCACCTTCTCCAATCTCTTCTTCCCCAAACTATATTTAATATTTTGTTGATAGTTATAGAATGAAGTCAACTTTTCTCACCCATCTCATAAGATATTGGTTCTCATAAATCCCAAGTAACTACTAGAAGCCCCAGTTGAAACTTGAGGTTGGAGCACAATGTACGTTCTATAAAAACCTAGGGACCCCATTTATAACATAGTAGGGCTAAAGTTAGTGCTTCATGGGACAGAATGGAACACAGTTATTCAAATGCTCTTTGTTATCAGAATACCAGTACCTCTTATTCCAAATCAGCCCTGGCAAGCATGAATGAATAGTTGGTCCTTTGGCGGGCCTCAGCAACAAAACCTAAAGGGAAATTTGCCTTCAGCCTGGAGTGGGCAGTCACAATCGCTGTGTAATTAGTGGTGACCAGCAGGAAGTTCAATTGTGTTTTTCACATGGTCTGAAGAAGCTGATTTGCCCTCATTCAACTAACCCAATAGGGAGTGTTGGACGTAAAAAATCAACTGATTCCCAAATCCCATTTTAATTATTTGTTGTAGGCCCCAGTGGCCAATTTCATCAGAGAGTTTGTTCCATTTGGGTGAGAATGCTTATTCAGAATACCATGGAGACTTATTTCCAGAGATGGCAAAAAAAATGTGTGTTCCTGAAATGAAACCTTTCCATTATTTGCAGAAAATATAAAGGCACTGCTTCTATTAACTTTCCAGCTATCACTGATTTCATTTAAGCCAAAATATTAGATTTAGTCTATTCACAATACTGTAATCACAGCGTAGTTATCGCTTTGAATTGCTGGTATTTCTACCTACTTCATTTTAGTACTTAATTTGTTTCTTTTTTTTAACATGTTATACCTCAGTATTTTAATTATACTCAGCTGAATATACAGCTGAATGCTCTCAGCATGCTTCATTATTTATATTAGTGGAAAAGCACATAAAATCAAATTGCATGCTGACATTCTATAATTTGTACTTGCATATCTCTAAAATAGATTTCTATAGATACAGCAACTATTCACAGTGGCTCAAGATATGCTGTGATTTTAAAATTTAACTGAATTTTAATGTACTCCAAAAATAAAATTTATGAGTTTTCACTAGAAAATGTCTTATCTGATTATTCATATTCTACAATTATTAACTGCTCCTATTCTGCATTTGATTGAATTGTAAAAAGGTGAATTTCTTCTCTTCTTACCCCAGGCATTAAGCTGTAATTTCTGCACATTTTCAGTTTTCCATATCTAAATTGGAAATTATGTTAGATCTACTGAAATATCAAGTATAAATAAAATATAAACCTTTTTTTAAATAGAAATGGACATTACCATTTAATTTAGTCAGGAGCTGTATGGCCATGTCGCCTTTCTCACCGTAATTTTGTGTGTGTGTGGGTTACGTAGACACGCTTTATCAAAAAGTTGATTTAAACTCTTTCCTTTTTCATTTGGAATTAAGAGGCAGATGCCCCAGAAAGTATTATGAAAGCCTATGCTTTTATTTTTAGTACCTCTTCAGAGGACTCAGCTATGTTCTTGGGTTTGGCAAAATCATCTCTCCATCAGCTTGTCTCAGACTAGGATTCCCCAAATACATGCTTTGGTTTGGTCTTTAGGCTTATTCTCAACATTTAAAAGGCAGATAAATAGTAGAGAACACTGCCAAAATGTGTTTCTTCTTTGAATAATCAGAGGCACAGATGATATTAGTAGAAATTTCCTCTGTGATTAGAGTTTTCTCCACTGTGCCACACGTGATTGTGAGAGAAAGAAGAGAAATGGTCCGTGGAGTTGAGGGTAGAAGAGAGAATATAGCAAGCCCTTAAAGAACAAGCAAGCCAATGGAAGGCAGAATGAGCAATACAAGGGCTTTTCAGGTGGAGCCATTTTCTGAAGGAAGAGGAAAGCATATCGTGAATTTTAAAAAACAACACATATATAAGTAAAGTATTATAATGGGGCTTGCGATTAGTTAAAACACAAAGCAAGTATGCACGAGTGATGAGAAATAAGATCTAGCACCTGAGAATAGAGGGGCCTTGCACAGGTGAAGATCCTGGCTGCATTTACTTAATCTGACAGGCAATGGGGAGCTCTTGAATATTTGTTTGCAGAATGCTGGAGGTTGTCCGGGTTGTGTTGCAGGAAAATGAATCTGGCAGTGTGTGTTGGATATTGGGTATATTACTGGAGGTTGAGTAAACAATTTGGAGGCTATTAGAGCAACCTGGGAAATAGCTGATTCAATTTAAGTCCAATTTGGCGATTTAGTGAGTGCCTAAATTGAGAAGGGCACAGTGCTAGACAGTGGGTAGGCACAAGTAATAAGACAGTCTTTGTGGCTCTTTGAAGTCACGGACCCATGATATACTTAGTAAGTGTTGGGAGAAGAAAGAAAGGAGATCTATCAGAAAGGAGGGAACAAGGGAAGAAGGAAACAGAAAAGGGAGGAAGAAAAGCAGGCAGAAAGGAAAGATGGGACTGAAGAAGGCTAGGAAATGATTTAACCACAGATGGAGAATAGCAAATAAAAAAATCTGTATAATTATCTGCTAATAACTATAAAAACTTTAAAGAATTACCCAATTTCATAACAAAAAATAAATGATTAAAATTAATTCATTTGCCAGAGACTATTGGGGTATAGAAATATCTGGTTTCCTCTTCTTTCTGATGACACACATATATATGAGCAGAAAGGCTGTACATCACTTACAGCATAGCCCGTAGTGACCTCACACTCACCATTCTACATCCTCCTCTGCGTGCTAGCGTAGTGGAGTAGATCTGTTTTCTCCTTCCCTTGTTCGCTCCTTTCTGATAGATCTCCTTTCTTTCTTCTCCCAGCACTTACTAAGTATATCATACATCTGTGACCTCCAGCCTTCTGCACACAAATATTCAAAAGCTCCCCGTTGCCTGTCGAATTAAGTAGATACAGCCAGGATCTTCACCTGTGCAAGGCCTACAGGAGGACTAATCCACAAAATGAAAGGAAGGTGGAACTGGGAATGCCTGAGTGAAACAAAATCCTTCCATCCCAACATGCTGTATTAGATAGTGGCTTGAATGATGATTACATGTTTATTGTATTAAGCCATGTAAGTACGTTAGCCTACCCTTCCTGAAATGGAAAAACATGTTCAAGAACTACCAATCAAATAGATTCTGACTTGATTGATATCATAAGCATGTTCTACCAATCATCTGAGAAAAAGATAATTGCAGATAATAAATAAAGAACCTAGGTTTTGGGAAAATATCCTGACTGATTTTAGAAGTTGTAAAAACTTGACAATGTGTGTGTGTGTTTATGAAACAACCTAATTTATTAACATAGATGTATGTAAATGTAACATATGTATAATTTTATAAATAAAATTTCAGGGATTATAATCTATAATTGTGCAAAATTTATTCTGAGCAAGAAAGGACACAAAGTTAAAAAAGTCTAATACATTTTATTACTCTAAGTGGTAGGCTAAGAACTACAATATTATCTTGAAGAACACTAAAGGGTGTTTGATAAAAATTGAAATTCACTTGTAAACTTAAAAAAAAAGCTTTAAGTAAAATTAAAACAGAAAGTAATTAACATGAAAAATATATATATAACTGATATCATCAACAAATATCGCAATAGAGGCCTTCATATATATTAAAGTCTGTTATAAGGAGTGAGGAGTGCTTCCTATCACTATTATTATTCTATAATGGTATGAATTTTCCAGGGGAGTGGAAAGAAAAATAACACAATAAAAAATTAAAACCAAATTTCAGTAATTTTAAATAATAAGATTGCTGACCTATACAATGTGAGATAATCAACTGAAAAATAGTTGGTTTCACTATATGACATGTCAAGATATTAGTTGCTTAAACAATAATATTAATACACCCTTCAGAAGCTTACTAAAGAACACTCACACACACACATATATGGGAAAATGAAGAGTCATACAAAGTTCTTATTTAAAGATAAAGACATGGTTTTACCTCTCCCCAAAAATTTTCTTATTAAGTTAAAATTTATTCAAAACTCTACTTAATTTAATATTGGGAGATAATAAAGTGATTAAAAATGTCATCAAGAAGAAAGAGGAAGAAACAATATCCAACATCATTTTTTAAAAGTAAAGTCTGTAGTATACCGAAATTTGTTGCAACATGTATTTAAAATGCATTGTGGTGTTTTAGTATTGGAAGTAATATGGTAAAGAGCTATTTCAAATAGAAAACGGTGGATCTTTCAATGATTATCATTGACACAAACAGCTGATTGTTTATAAAAAGAAATAAAATAACATCCCTACCTCACACTTTATTCACACGCAAATTTCTAGCTGGAGGGATATGTAAATGTAAAAATGAACGAATCAATTAATAAAAATGGATTACTAATATAAGAATGAGTATTTCTATAATATTTAGGGTGCAGAAAATAAGTAAAATAAGACATAACAGAGCAACACTTCTTAACACTTCAAGTTTAAAAAATCATTAAAACGAAATTGAAAAATATTAAATGTATTTACAACACATATCAACTCAAGCAGTGATTATGTTAATACATTATTGTGTTATTATAAAGATCTATTGCCGTATGATAAGATAAACAACAAATAAAAAGAACTGAAAAGGTTAAAAAATAGAAACAGGCACTTTACAAAAGGCCTATGAACATGTAAAAACCGCACAAGTATAATCATAATGAAGTGAATGCAAATTACAACCAGAATACACTATTTTTCTCTATCAAGCTGGCAGAAACTATAAAAAGAGAACTGCCAGTGTTGTCAAGGGTTGGAGGAAAACAGAAATGCTTCCATAGTGCTGCAGGTGTATGAATTGGCACAACCTTCCTGAGCAGCCATATGCAAAGCATTTTAAAAAGGACTAAGAATGTGCAGACTTCTGATTAGTAATTTTTCACTTCAGGTAACTAGCAGCACAGATATAAGTAATAATTTACAAACACTATCACATAGAGTTTTCCGGCAACATTTTTTATAATAGCAACAACAAAAAAGAAAAAATCAGTTAAATTTTCAATGGTAACATCATGGTTGGCTAAATGTGTTCATAATATATATTTAGTTTTAAAGATATAGTTAACGTATATCATAAGATGGAGCAATCTCAATTTGTATCACAGACATAGGTAGATGCATAAATTTTTGCCTACACACACATACCACACACACATGATTACATGCACTAAACTGGAATCATAATGGAAGAAAATGATTCTGTGATCACTTCTGAGGAGTGGACTTAAAATTTTTTAAATTTCTTTGGCTTACATCTATTTTATACTTTTTCTAAGATGTGCCAAATAGAATTGCATTTAGGAAAACAAATATGTTGTTTTAAGATACAAAGAAGCCCAGAAAAGATATTGTAAGAAAACAGTTATCATATTCTTCTTATGCGATAAAAATACCTGACTTGGGTAATGGAAATATCAAATTCATTGGTGGTCAGGAATCTTCCTCTAACTAGGTCAAATTAGGTTATACTCCATGACAAATCGCTTCCTCTGTGTAAGCCTCACGTTATTCCTTAGCAAAAGGAGAAGATTCAACTATACGTTTCCTGAAATCCCTTGAGATTTCATGATTACTGAAAGTATGTTGTACACACATGTAATTTATTTGCATTGTTTTAAACTCTCTAATTTTCTCCCTAATATATAAGCTCCTGTGCCCTGATTCTTTGCTGAGGGAAAAATTATACTTTCTCTTTTGTTATCAAAATACAAGATCTGGTCAAGTAGGGGGGTCTAAAACAAAATAAGTGAGTCCCATCTCCATTGCTCTGATCAGAGAGTGAAGAGAGGAGTCACACAGGGACTGGAGGAATCTATGCCTGTGAATGGCTAGTGGAGAAGCTGCTCCGTCACACGAGGAGAAAAGCAGAGAAGTGTATGGAGCCAGAAGAACTTTGAGCAACAGAAGTTGGGTGACCATGTAATTTATCTCACAAACAGGGACTTTTGGAGAATTTAAGGAGTATTTACTAAAAATTATTCTGAAACAATAGGTAAAATGAGACTGTCCCAGGAAAAATAGGACTTAAGATCATCCTAAATATAAGTCCTGGAATTTGGGGAAAAAATACTCTTCTCCCTGAATAAAACCTAAGAAGAAAGAAAAGAAGTTACATTTAAGTGATAAAATCTGTCACTGAGGGACATTTGAGAGAAGTTTGCTGGCCACTAAGAAGGTGCCACTCTCATACAAACTGTAGATCTGTTAACTTTCCAATGATGTGAGACCTTCCTGGATTCAACTTCATACTCATATGGAGGCCTGCTGGCTGGAGTATAATTTACACTCCTAATAAAATTTTAAAGAACATAATGATTTGTTTATCATACCACCATAATTCCTTGGGTCACTAAACATGTTCCTACGTTTAACTATACTTGTAGAGTATCCAGCACACGACACTGAGTGACCAACCATTGTCGTTTGAGGACAGGATATGAGACTTTCAATGCTAAAACCAGGATAGTTCCTGGAAAATCGGGATGGTTTGTCACCCTACCAACAGATCAAACCTCCCTCTGGTAAGGTACTCAACTGATTTTCTCTCTATTCATTTCCATATTTTGATGTTTCTGCTCTCTAAATTGTGTCTAAATTGTGCAATAAGTATTGTGGGCTGAATTGTGTCCTCCCAAAATTCATGTGATGAAGCCTAATCCCTAGTACCTTGAAATAGGACTGTTTGGAGATAGAGTCTTTACAGAAGGAATTAAGGTGAAATAAAGCTTTTGGGGTGGGCCCTAATCCAATATGAATAGTGGCCTTCTAAAAAGAGGAAGAGACACCAGAGATGCACAGGCACAGAGAAAAGGCCATGTGAAAACCAGAAGAAGACAGCAATATGCAATCCAAGGAGAGAGGTTCTCAGAAGAAACCAATCTGGTGATGACTTGGTCTTGAACTCTTACCCTCCAGAGCTGTGAGGAAATAAATTTCTGTTGCTAAAGTCCCCCCAGCATGAGGCACTTTGTTATGGCTTCCCTAGCAAACTAATACAAAGACACCACAAAAGCCATTTTGTCCTAAACCTCATTGCCTAAAAGACTTGAAAATCTAAATTCTCTAGAGGAATGGTTTCATGGTGGTTGGAAATGTGGCAATCCATCTAGTCTCAACCTAATTTTTTTTCAGTGATTTGTACTCTAGGAATAGCTATCCAGATTTTTCACAGGGCTTCAAATTGCATTTCATTTCTCCTTCATTAAGAAACCTGCATGATTTGCATTCTGTCCATCTGTCCAAGTTCATTTCATCTCTCTGAGGAGTTGACCTGTCTTTCTGCTTAGTACATATAATTGGTTTTGATGTCCATGTTAGATCAAGTTTAATTATCAGGTGGCCAATAGTCCCCAATGGCTTAGTTATTTCAAGTTTACTCATTTAGAATATATTGTTATTTAACAACACATCAGAACTGAAATTATTGTAGTTAGAGTCTGTCATTTAAGCCTTTAAATCATACCCACAGTACATTATAGTTTTGTTCACTAATTACTAAGTATATTATGAAAAAGCAAATTAACATTTTGAAAATAAGCAGCCAGCATTATACTCATGAAAGTGGAAAAATACTTTTTTTTCCCTTCTCATTGGGAAGACTTTAAATTTAATCTTTTTTTCTTACTTTAACATTTACATTTCTTGTTGAAATAGAAGCACAGATTCTTGGTCTCAGTCGACTAGAGAATCATGTACTTCACTGAAGATCACTATTAGACCAAATAACTAGTAATCTGATCTGGTGTTAATTTTAGTCTCTGCTTCAATAACTCTTCTCTGAAGTCTCCTAAGCAGATGGGGTGATCTTATTCCTAATATTACCCACTGTTCTCCCCCCGCTAGTTCACCATTTGTTATAATCTGAGACACTCCTGATTCTTTTTTTTTTTTTTTCATGAGAATATTCCCTGAAAGGGTTACGGACATGGACAAATATTCTCTCATCTATCCAATGGTGCAGCAGAGGCTCTCATTACTTAAATGTAGTTCCCCCAAAAAAATATTAAGAAGAAGGGTGATGAATATTGTATAAACTGTTTTTTAAGACAGGATCAAAGATTGAATTCCTTCCCAGGGTTGCTGAGACTGTACAGACCTGAAAGATTCTAACTAGTGCCTAGTATAGCACCTGGGATACAGTAGGCCCTTGGTAAATGTATTTTCAATCAATAAGTTAATATTTTCAGGAAAAAAACACTATAAAAAACAATTTGGCAAGGAGAACCATCAACATTAGATGTTGCATATATTCTGAACTATTAAAGTAGACATGAAGTATGAAATAGAGTCAGATGACATTGAGGAAGAAGCACATTTCCCTACCTAAGAATCTGCAGGCAGCTAAAAGAAAGTAGGTGCATAGCATCTGAAATCTTCACAGTGCAGGCAACCAAATTCAAGAGATGTAGTTTCTTTATGATATCACCATTTATGGTTTAGCTCTGATGGAAGTTTCCCTCAAAAGACAGCAATGGCAGAATTTGCCCCAATTGCTTCGACCTGCCCCAGGATGCAACTTATGAGGCCTGCTTTGCAGACAATTGTGATGGTGTGATCATTTCTTCTGGGGCAGGCTCAGTGGTATCGTAGTCTTTTGAATTGGAAGCAGTAAGAGTGAAAAATATAAATACAATCCAACTGTTAATCTCCTTGATCCCTTCAAGACAATATGCTAATTTTATGCAGGAGAACATTCATAATCACATGATATTGTTCTTTAAAATCAAAGGTTACATTCTCCTTTGCATTTTCAAAAATATTTTACTCCATATTGCCTTAGAATCCTCTAATAAGATTTCCTATACTGTACTTTCAATTTGATTTTTTAAATTTGTTTTTTCTTAACTAGTTTTATATTTACTTATGAGGTAATTTTCATAATGCATAATTTATGCTACACTGAAAGATGGAATCAATGATCTTAAATAGAAATGAAAATGTTTCATGTTTCAAATTTGTTTTGGCTGATAGTTTTATGACTATATTATTTTTATTTTTTGGACTTTTTTATTTTATGGAATATATCTGTAGCTAATCTTTCCTTAAAATTACTTGCCCATTTGAAAGGCTTATTTTATAGGCATATGAGATTTCTCTTTTGCTATCTCCTGAAGCCAGAAGACTTGCTAATGTTTAGGTATCTTTATTTCTCTTAGGATGGGTATCAGTTAGTGTTACATTTGGCTGCAAGTAAAACAGTCCCAGAAAACAACAGCTTACATAAGATGTCACTGATTTTTCTCTTAAATAAAAGAAGAAAAGAAGTAATCCAGGATGAGCATACTTGGCAGTATGTACTTAAACTGACTCCAGTGGTGCACTAGGCTTTGGCATTTGTCCTCAGATCCAAGATGGACACCAGAGCTCAAGACCACATCCACAGCAGGACAGACAAAGAGAGAAAGAACAGCCCATCATCTCCCTCTAAGGGGACCTCCCAGAAGTCTCATGTAACATTTTTATGTATATCTTACACAACTTGGTCTCAGGACCACATCTACATTTAAGGAAATTCTGGAAATGCAGTTTTTGCTAAACACATAGAAAAATCAACATTACCTTTCATGGAAAATCGGGAGAATAAATGTCAAGACGAAATCAATGGTTTCTAAACATGGGGGTTTAAAGAGATGCTTGTAATTGCAAGGTCATGCTGAATTCCTAGGCCAACGGTAGCTGATGGAATCAGAGTCAGTATAACAAGAGTAGGAAGTTATATGCATAAGTATTTGCTGAATGAGAAACACGAATGATGGAGTAATGTGTTTCTGATGTAACTTAAATGGATGACAAATATTTGACTTCATTCTGCTCTGTTTCAAGAACTTCCTGTCTATCCCTCAGCCTGTGTTGTTAAATGCCAGGAAGTCTGGTTGAAATTTGACTGGAATGGGGATCAATAGTTGTCAGCCTGGTCATAGTTTGCCCCTACTCGCTAAGTGACCTTGAATTATTCACTTTTATTGAGACTGGGTTTCCCCATTTATAAAATAGGCATAAAATACATTTTTATTGATTCACTCATTCATTCAACAGATATTTATTGATTCGTTTTTAGGTACTAGCCCTAGTGCTGGACCCTAGGAAGGTAACCAAAACACAGTGCATGCTCTCCCAGAGTTTAGCAGAGAAGATTGACTGAAAATAATCTCCAAATTAATGTATTTTTATAAATGATTATAAAGTAAATGCAGGGTGGTATAAAATCTAATGAAGTCCCTAACTTAATTCACAAGGCTTGTGTAAGAGCAATATGCAATGTTCATCATGGTGTTGTCTGACAGGAAATGAGTGCTCAATGTGTTTTAGTTCCTTCCCCATCCTCCTTAAGTCAGAGGAGTAAAAACATGCACAGCTGAATAAAGTACAGCATCATCTCTATGGCAGTAAGTTCTGACAACTTTGTACTGCAATCAATCAGATCCAATGCATGCAGGTGAAAGATTGACCTGTTTGGAGGAGAAAGGGGAGTCAAGGAAGATTTGATATAAGATGTCACATTTAAACCAGATCTGTTAGAATAAAGATAGGCAACAGGCTGGGCACAGTGGCTCACTCCTATAATCTTAGCACTTTGGGAGGCTGAGGCAGGAGAATCACTTGAGCCCAAGAGTTTGAGATCAGCCTGTACAACATAGTAAGACCCTGTCTTTACAGAAAAAAATTCTCTTAATTAGCCAGACATGGTGGCATACACTTGTAGTCTCAGCTACTCAAAAGGCTGAAATGGGAGGACTGCTTGAGCTCAGGAGGTCAAGGCTGCAGTGAGCTGTGATCACACCACTGCACTCCAGCCTGGGAAATAAAACGAGATCCTGTCTCAAAAAAAAAAAAAAAAAGACAGATAATAATGGATGCTGGTGAGGATGCAGAAAAAGGGGAACCCTCATACTCTATTGGTGGGAATGTAAATTAGTACAGCCACTATGGAAAACAGTATGAAGGTTCATCAAAAAATCTAAAAATAAATCTACCATATGATCCAGCAATCTCATTGCTGGGTATATACCCAAAAACAAAAAATCAGTACCTCAAAAAAAGTCTGTACTGTTTTTTTTGTATTAATAGTGCTGTTTACTGCAGCACTATTCATAATAGCAAAGACATGGAATCAACCTGTGACCACCAACAGATGAATAGATTTAGAAAATATGGTGTCTTTTGGAATATATCACCACAGAATACTACTAAGCCATAAAACAATGAAATTTTTTCATTTGCAACAATATGGATAGAACTGGAGGATATTACATTAAGTGAAATAGGACAGTCACAGAAAGTCAAATATCACATGTTCTCATTCATATGTGGGAGCTAAAGGATAATTGACCTCATGGAGTTAGAGAGTAGAATGATGGCTACAAGAGATTGGGAAGGGAAGTAGGGAGGGTGGATAAAGAGGGTATAGTTAATGGGTACAAACATACAATTAGATAGAAGGAATAAGATCTAGTGTTTGGCAGCAAAACAGAGCGACTATGGTTAAAAGTAATTTATTGTATATCTCAAAATAACTAAAAGAGTAGAATTGAAATGTTCCTAACACAAAGAAATGGTAAATGCTTGAAGTAATGAATATTCCAATTACCCTAAGTTGACCATTATGCATTGTTAGCTTATCTCAAAATATCTCATGCATT
This sequence comes from Homo sapiens, assembly GCF_000001405.40. Taxonomy (NCBI): domain Eukaryota; kingdom Metazoa; phylum Chordata; class Mammalia; order Primates; family Hominidae; genus Homo; species Homo sapiens. The sequence continues at coordinate 22,574,119 of NC_000002.12, forward strand.
CCATAAATAAGTGCAACTACCATGTATCCACAATAATTAAAAAAAAAAAAAAAAAAAAAAACAGAATAATGAGGATTAAACCAAGAAGGGAAGTGGAGGAATTTTCAAGAGAGGGAATAGACTGAGATGTGATGATTCTAAGGTGTCTTGGGCTTCTACATAAATGGAAAGCCCATTCCATTTGCTCTCCCTCAGTTTTCTCAGCCTCAGTTTTCTATGCCCCCTTCACTCTTTAGTGTGCTTCCTTTTCACCCATTAAGAACTTAATGCCTTCAAAGTGTCCTTCTCTTTCCCTTTTGGGAAAAAAAAAAGAATCCACTCACTCTGGGAAGTACATAATATGCCAACTTGAAAACTCTTTAATCCAACAGTATAATAAGATTTATAAAATCCAAAGAGCCTACAAAAGCCAATGTTATTTTGAAGCTAAATGCTAAAAACTTCAAACCAATTATAAGCTAAAAACTAGATAGCTCAATTACAGTTACAGAACCTCATAAATGTTGAAACTATTTCCTAAAATGATTGAAACTAATCTCATGCCACTAAATTAAGTAGTTTTGGAAAATGAGTATGTGGGTATTATTTTTTGATAATAATTTACTAAAATTAAGGTTTGCATCTAGTGGACCCATTTTGTGAGGAAAAAGAAGGAAGAAAAGCATACATAAAAATGAGGACATCATCCACCCAAGTATGATATGGTAGACTAAACAAATAGGTATAAAAGAAAAAGCAATATAAAATCACAGTACCTAAATGAACGGAGTAAAGTCAAAAAAAAAAATCAGCAATGGGTTTGAAATTGAATGCCATTGGAATTGTGTTGGGAGCTATTCAAAACAAAATTAAAATTCCAAATCATGTTCAGTCAAGATTAAAGAGTCGATGAAGCTCTTAATGTTGGAATTTAAGTCATCAGCAAAAAGGAGGAAGAGATATTTGGAAAGCAATGGGGCTTTGTGCTCCCCCAAGATATGTTAACATTGATAAAAATCTTCTTCCCTGAGCAGTAGCACATTGTAATCCCTGCCTGCACCCTTGCTCATATTCTCCTTTAGGTTTTAAAAAGTTGTCCCATAGCATGAGTTGAATGTATGCATGGCGCAGACTATATTAGACACCAGGGAACCTAGGTCATGTAGCTAGGTCATCTAACTTCCTTTTATGCATAGCCCACTGTATCATTGCTAGGACTTGTTCAGTGCTACTTCAAGTGATGCCTAGGATTTTGAATTGGTGCCACTTGTAACAACCAACTTATTAGATGATTTGAGAGTGATTTTAATAATCAAATATGCATAGAACATAAAGAAAAGGAAATATCATTATAGCCACTTTGTACAAATTTCACAAAAACATTAGTCCTCTACATTGCATTCTCCAGATGGCATGCAACCACCCAAACCAAGGGCATTTTTCTTCTATACTCATTTTATTATTGAGTTTATTAGTGAGTAAAACAGATTATAATGAAATACTTTCACAGGTTAAGGACAAAAGGGCATAATTACCATTTTAGGGGATCTTTCTCTTCTGTCAGCCATTTCTTGAAGGTCCTTATGGAGATAAGAACAAGTGATTATTTTAAAAAATTAAAAATCCTAGAAAAAACAAAAAATGGTATCAGTCATGGTGCTATGAAAGCTTAGGTAATGATGGTATGAGAATAAATATATTAAAAAGTTTTACTACAACAAGTTGTAGTAACACTTGTTACTACAAGTTACTACAACATCATCTAACTATGATACACCCTGCAATTGTACGTGAGTGACAGGCAGCTTAGAGAGCTTTAATATCTATTAACTTATCTATTTGCTCACTTTACTTATTTACATTGTTCATTAATTGGTTTCTACAAAAGTAGGCTTACTTTGTTTCTTTTTATCTGTTTCCTTCTATTTTTGCAGGAACCATCTGGGCTGAGTACAGTAATTCACTAGGGCACAAATGATAATGATTTTGATGAAATTAAACGGTCATGTCCTCGTTAGGATTCCTTGTTGGTAGGCTTTTGTATACTACCCACTAGTTATTGGATATTTTCTTTAAAAAAATTATCTTGAAATTATATTGTGAGTATGCTGTGATAATGCACAAGGCAGCGTCACAATCTCTTATCTCTTCTTTAAAATGATTTGGGTTTAGGTATCTTATTTTTATCACATTCCAGAAAGACATTGTTTTCTTAATTGGTATGCTAGTACTCTCCTGGCACCATTCCTGCATTCAAAGCCATATTTGTTTTTCATATCTAAGATTTCTATTTTTATATTCATCAGATTTGGTAACTGATTTTCTGTTTTGCTATAATTTGTACATTCTGCTCAGTTTGTTAGGCTCCTCTAAACCTTATGTTTTAATCTTATTCTTTCTATCTCTCTTATTTTTCCTTTTTATGTGACTTCATCTTTTTAAACAAAACAATTGTCACTGAATTTTCTCTGCTGGTATTATCATTCAAATATTCCTGAATTTTAACTTGCATAAATTTTTTAAGTATATCTAGTTAATGAATTATTTATGACCAACTTCTTAGCTAGGATCTTCATTTTGCACTACATTGTCCAACTATCCCCTGATAAATCTAATGGTGAATTTGTCATTAGTAGGTACTATGTCTCTAACCTGAGTGACGCTCTTAGCAGTGGGCTTGAACTCCCTGCCAACTGAGCTGCTACCTTGGTTAGAATAAGATTTAGGAAAATCTGGCAAAGATAATAAAGGATTTCCAAAATATCAGCAGCCTACTAACATTGAACTATATTAGTGTCAGCATCACCTGATGCAAACAAGCAAAAACATTACAGAATAACAGAATATAACCAAGGATATCTGTGAAAATTCAAACTTCAAATGAATTTGGAAACAAGAAAACATTTTGCAGCACAAAAGAATAACAATTCAAGAACAATCAGAGCTAAACTTGACTTGAAAAGATTTTTCACACTGTATACAAAAAGAAGAGAGATCCTGTGAAATCTATTTTAAAGAAACAAAGGAGGGCTTTGGCATTAAACAAGAGAAGGCAATGAATATATCTTTACAAATGAAAAATATGCAAAAGTAAAATTAAAATAATCGTTGAAATTATTAAAATGTACAATAAGAAATGCAGAAAAACAATAGAAAGAAGAAAGAAAGGAAAATGACAAACAGGTCATGGAGAAAAGACTGTGGGTGTCTAACTTGCGAATAATACAAAGTCTTAAAGAAAACAGAATAAAAACTAGGGAACTGATCATCATAATTACATGCAGTTCTTAAGAGTTCTCAGCCTCATAAGTTCATAAAGGATTTCAGGCAAAATACAAAGATATTCTCCATTTTTACATTAAATAACATGACTGCTCCAGTAATTTGGATCATGGTTTACTTGCAATTTTATTCTACAGTTTTATGTATAGAGTTCTTATCCATCTCTTATTAAAGCTACTTTCATGTATTTTACATTTTTGTTACTAATGTGAAGGAAATATCAGTTTTCTTATTTCTTTTCCTAGCAAATTATTGCTTTGAGGTACGTATCTTTAAACCTTCTAATATGCTAAATTTATGCTAGACCCAGTACATTTTAGCTTATTCTTTTACATTAATTTGCTATATTGTATTATTCAAATTCTTCTTTGAATATTTATTCTCATTGGTTTTCCCACATCTTATTCTAACAATTTAAATTTTTTAAATAACTAAATAAGAATGATAAGACTAGAAATGATTTTTTTGTATCTGTTTCCAAAAGGAGTACCTAGGATTTTCACCTACAAGTACAAAATTGATTCCTAATTTAACATAGATCAACTTTGTCACTTTATAGAAGTAATATATTTTTATTTTAAAAATGAATATTTGTTGTCAATAGTGGTTAAATATTACCAAGTGTTATAACATTTGGACTTTTTTCTTCTTCAAGTTTTAAAATTATTGATCTATGAGTAGATTTGTTATTTCTCTCAATTTACTATCTTGGGTTTGAAATATTTCAGAAATTGAGCACGTCCCATTCAAACATTATAGATATTTTTATTTGCTTGTTATTTTGTTTTTCATAAGTTAATAAAGGAAACTTTATTATTTGTATTTGGAGAAGATAAGCTAAAGGGAATCTGAAAATGAAGGTGAGTAAAGTCACCTTTAGGCATATATTTTGAAAGTGTATAAAATAAATGCAGTATATATTATTAAAAAAAATAAAAGTGCATAACAGCACTTTTATTAAATAGTATCACCGTGAATAAAAAAACAAAATTAGAAAATGTAAGATAAACAATAACTAAAGTAATTAGATAGAAATTCAATAATTAAATATGATGCAACTAAGTATGAATAAAATACCTAATTGTTAAACTGTACCATCAACCAAAAGTACTTTCCAGGATCTGAGTTAACTATCTCTTTATCTGACAGTCTGCACTCTCCTGACCAGTTAAAGGGATTCATTTTTTTTTAATTCTAAAGAGTAAAGAAAAATTTATTCTGTAATCTTGTTATTGTATGTGCATGTGTGCTGTATTTGCCTTTGTGTTTGTGTGTGTGTGTGTGTGTGTGTGTAAGAGATAGAGAAGGAATCAGAATGCATATGGCATTCTGCTTGACTAACGCAACTTCATTCTTAGCAGTCTTTTTATTTTCAAAGGTTTTGCAAAAACTGAGATCATAATTTATACTGAAAACATTACTTGCGGTTCTTTAAATGCTCTCTTAGTCTAGCTGATCTCCATCTCCAGTTTTATCTTCCCAAGTGGCTATTCTCTTATACTAACTTGATATACTCTGAAATGTTCATATTAGCATTTTGTTTGAAAAGGAAATGGGCATTTATATATTTGGAGTAAACCAATCACATCTAATTTTCTATATTATTGCATTGCTTCTTGCTGTTTGAGGGTGGTAGCTACGAGCTGGAAATAATTCCACTCACTAGAGATTACTGTAATAGTAATAATGGGGAAGGAAGGACAGACAAACATCCCAAGATTAAACATAGGCCCAGTAAGTCCTGATGGCGCTTGAAGGTGGATGAGTGCCCTGAGACCAAGGATTGGCTCTGTAAATGGAGATTTAAATTATACTAGATGTTACAAGATGTTGTCAAGAAGCCTTGACAACAGTGCAGAGAGGGTGAAAGAAAGAACCCTAAAAGGTAACCCTATTGTATACTTTGTCTTCATTGAGAGATTTCCCTTTTAAATGTAACTATGTAATATTTTTTAAAGATATTATGGAGTAGACAAGAGTAAAAAAATGAGACCTCAGAAACAAGAACATTAGACAAAGGGGATGATAAACGAAACAGTAACTACTAATCCTAAGAGTAGGGAGAAACAGCTGGCTGAGCTGAATTAACCTACTGAAACTTATGACAAAACCTCTACTCAGTGTTTTCCTGCTGAAGGGAAAATTCCTTGTGAATGAGGTTTTTGTCTTTCTGTTCACCATAACAGTCAAAGCATACACTGCAGTCAATGCATGCATTCATCCTTCAGTAAATATGTACCCAACATGCATGTTTCTGTGTGCCAGGCACTATTCTAGTCCCGCTTTACATCCGTGAATAAAAGAGAAATGTTTGACATTGGACACTTTACATTTCAGAGCAGTGAGATACACAATAAATACAAGTAACTAAATTATATAGTGTGTTAAAAGATGGTCAGTGATATGGAAAAAAAATTAGATGAGGGTAAGGGAAAATGAGAATGCAAGAATGAGTGGTACAATTAAAATGGAGTGTTCAAGGAAGATTCCATTGGGAAGGTTATATTTCAGCAGGCTTGAAGGTGATGCAGGAGTAAGCTGTACGACTATCTGAGGAAAGTGAATTCCAAACAAGTTGCTGCCTTTTTAGGATATAAGTTTTCAAAGTAAAGCTTAAATAACTGCTATATTTAAAAAGAAGAATGCTGGCCAAGTGAGGTGGCTCACGCCTGTAATCCCAGCACTTTGGGAGGCCAAGGTTGGCAGATCATGAGGTCAGGAGTTCAAGACCAGCCTGACCCACATGATAAAACCCCATCTCTACTATAAATACAAAAAAAAAAAAATTAGCTGGGTATGATGGCATGCACCTGTAATTCCAGCTACTCAGGAGGCTGAGGCAGAAGAATTGCTTGAACCCGGGAGGTAGAGATTGCAGTGAACTGAGATCACGCCACTGCACTCCAGCCTGGGCGACAGAGTGAGACTGTCTCGGAAGAGAAAGAAAAAAGCAGAATGCTGAGAGTTTGGAAATAAAGCAATTTTTAAGTCTTACTAAAATCCATCTTAAACCCTAATCCTTTTTCTTGGACAAATGAATACACTTTTTCTAACTTCATTTTCTTAATTATGTAATAGATTTTTAAATAATATCTATCATTTAGGTGTATGATGCATGAAAATACTCTTCTTACAAGGCTTAACTCATAGTGCCTATTAAATAAAAATGAGTTATTCATTCATAAAACAAATATTTATAGAATGATGGTGATCTTGATTCAAAAATCATTCTCTTCTGTTCACAGCAAATTGACTTTTTTCCTTTTCAGTAGGAAAATTTTAAATAGTTTTAGAATTACCTAAATTTCTAAAATGGCCATTACATAACTTAAGATTCATTAACTTGTCATGTCTTAAATGTGCTATTTAGGAATTTATCATTAATTATTTAAATTTCCTTTCATTCTCAAAGAACTTCTATTCAAATTTAAAGATATGATTATCCACTATGAAGTGACCCCATTCATTAATTCATTTATTCAATCACCTTTAATTTATTCTACCAATATTTGTTGAGTGACCTGTACCTCAAGTGGTCCCTTAGTGGTGCCTAACAATCATCTTATAGTCTTTAATCTATTTTTTCCTCCATTCTCCTGGAAATCATGGCTATATTCTTCTTATGTGGAAGCTTAGACACCCAAGTGTGATGTCTCCAGTGAACGAAGACTATTATGAGCTGGGCATGGAAGTCCATATCATCACTTCTGCTATACTCCATTGCTCAGTCACAAGTTTACTCAGATTTAAGAGAAGGTCAATTATATCTCTTTCTTGTTAGTAGAGTATCAAAGAATTTACAGACTATGTTTTAAAATTGCCATTGTCTGACCTCTGGCCATACATTATTTATATTATTTTCACATGGAAAATATACTCACCCTCTGAAAGCTGTAAAAGTCTCCACACCGAACGACTCCATCTTATATGGTTTGGCTGTGTTCCCACCCAAATTTCATCTTGAATTGTAATCCAAATTTTAATCCTCACATGTTGGGGGAGGGACCTGGTAGGAGGTGATTAGATCATGGGGGGGGGGTCCCCCATGCTGTTCTCACGATAGTGAGTGAGTTTTTCATGAGATCTGATGATTTTATAAGGAGCTTTTTCCCCTCTTGCTCTGAACTTGTCTCTCCTGCCACCATGTGAAGAAGGACATGTTTGCTTCTCCTTCCACCGTGATTGTAAGTGAGACCTCCCCAGCCATGCAGAACTATGAGTCAATTAAACATCTTGCTTTTATAAATTACCCAGTCTTGGGTATGTCCCTATAGCAGTGCGAGAATGGACTAAGACATCAGTACTGCAGAGAGTAGAGTGCTGCTATAAGGATATCCAAAAATATGGAAGCAACTTTGAAACTGGGTAACAGGCAGAGGCTGGAACAGTTTGGAGGGCTTAGAAGAAGACAGGAAAATGTGAGGAAGTTTGGAACTTCCTAGAGACTTGGAGGGCTCAGAAGACAGGAAAATATGGGAAAGTTTGGAACTTCCTAGAGACTTGTTGAATGGCTTTGACCAAAATGCCGATAGTGATATGGACAATTAAGTCCACGCTGAGGTGGTCTCAGATGGAGATGAGGAACTTGTTGGGAACTGGAATAAAAGTGGTTTTTGCTATGCTTTAGCAAAGAAACTGACAATATTTTGCCCCTGCCCTAGAGATCTGTGGAACTTTGAACTTGAGAGAGATTATTTAGGGTATCTGGAAGAAGAAATCTCTAAGCAGCAAAGCACTCAAGAGGAAAAAGAGCATTTTCTGGGGTTCAAGCCTGCTTCAGAAATTTGCACAAGTAACAAGAAGCCCAATGTTAATCAACAAGACAATACAGAACATGTCTCCAGGGAATGTCAGCCCCGCCACATCAGGCTCCAGGCAGCCCCTCTCATCACAGGCCTGGAGGCCTAGGAGGAAAAAATGGTTTCCTGGGCTGGACCCAGGGCCCCCCTGCTGTGTGCAGACACAGGACTTGGTACTCTGTGTCCCAGCTCCTTCAGCTTCAGCCATAGCTAAAAGGGGCCAAAGAACACCTCAGGCCATGGCTTCAGAGGGTGTAAGTCCCAAGCCTTGGCAATTTTCACATGGGGATGAGTCTGTAGGCGCACAGAAGACGACAACTGAGGTTTGGGAACCTCCACCTAGATTTCAGAAGATGTATGGAAACAGCTGGATGTCCAGGCAGAAGTTTGCTGCAGGTGTGGAGCCCTCATCTGGAACCTCTGCTAGGGCAGTGTAGAAGGGAAATATGGGGTTCGAGCCCTCACACAGAGTCCCTACTGGGCCACTGCCTGGTAGAGCTGTGAGAAGATGGCCACCATCCTCCAGACCCCAGAATGGTAGATCCACTGAAAGTTTGCATCATGCACCTGGAAAAGCCATAGACATTCAATGTCAGCCCATGAAAGCAGCTGGAAGGGGGGCTGTACCCTGCAAAACCAAAGGGGCGGAGCTGCCCAAAGCTATGGAAGCCCACCTCTTGCATCCGTGTGACCTGGATGTGAGACGACATGGAGTCAATGGAAATCATTTTGGAGCTTTGACTGCTCTGTTGGATTTTGGACTTTCATGGAGCCTGTAGCCCCTCTGTATTGGCCAATTTCTCCCATTTGGAATGAGTATATTTACTCAATTCCTGTACCACCATTATATCTAGGAAATAACTAACTTGCTTTTAATTTTACCAGCTCATAAGTGAAATGGACTTGCCCTGTCTCAGATGAGACTCTGGATTAGGACTTTTGGGTTAACGCTGAAATGAGTTAAGACTTGGGGGACTGTTGGAAGGGCATGATTGTGTTTTGAAATGTAAGAACATGAGATTTTGGAGGGGCCAGGGGCAAAATGATATGGTTTGGCTGTGTCCTCACCCAAATCTCATCTTGAATTGTAATCTGAATTGTAATTCCCATGTGTTGCTGGAGAGACTTTATGGGAGGTAATTAGATCCTGGGGGCAGTTCCCCCATGCTGTTCTCATGATATTCAGTGAGTTCTCATGAGACCTAATGGTTTTATAAGGGGCTGTTCCCCCTTTCACTCTGCACTTCTTTCTTATCCTGCTATGTGAAGAAGAATGTGTTTGCTTCCCCTTCTGCCATGATTGTAAGTTTCCTGAGGCTTCCTCAGCCTCGTGGAACTGTGAGTCAATTAACATTGTTTCCTTTATAAATTACCCAGTCTCAGGTACGTTCTTATAGCAGTGTGAGAACAGACTAACATACCATCCAAACCTCTGGACTAAGAGATGACCAAACCCCGGCGTGACTTCTAGCAACATAAGGTACTGTGTTCCTAGGGTGACTCCAGCCCATCATTACAATGTCTGCCCAAGAAAATTCAACCCAGGCATAACTTAAAGTTTGTTCCAGACAGAACCTGACAGAAGGCCCCTGACCTCCCATTTTTAGAGCATTTATTTAAAAGGGTTTATATTTGTGGATCTCTTCTCGGCCTCTTTGATATATATAAATAGCTCCTACAACTCCAGAATGTCTTTCTAAAGAACCTGAAAGCCATAGCTTTGGAATGTAATTGTCAAGAAGAATAAGATCTCTGTCTCCCAGTCTGTGTGGGAGGATGGAATCCTAATTTGCACAGTGAGTGCCAGATAGCAGACACAGGTCCTATTTACACTGACCAACCCTTTACAATTTTTACCTGAGCTCCCATTTGCACCTTCTCCATATTTCCTCATTATCCCTTCAAAACACATAGTTAACTTTGCACAAATCAGAATGGAGCTCAGCTCTTTCCTCTACTGTCAGTAGTTACTGAGTAAAATTGTTTAACTACTTCAACAAATGTCTGCATGTGTTTATCTTTGACATCCTTCCTTCAAGACCCCAAGTCTCATCCTATTTCAATATTTACTCTCAATCCAGGATCTTGTCATTTAAATCAGGTCTAAATATAATAAGCCTTCTGAGGTGTGGCACTTTTAACATTATATCTCTCAATTTAAAGAACTGTGAACTCAAAAGAAAAATTCTTATCTTTTTCCCACTTAAAATACAATGGTGGTACAAGCCTAGATAATTGCTATAGGCACTCCATGGGATGCACGCAGCAGTCACCTGTTCAAAGTAGTTCTGAAGTTCAGCTGGGCACAGGTAGTCTGTTCCTTGACTCAGGTACAGTCTCACCGTCATGAAGATATGGCTCTAACTCTTGGTTCTATAACTTGAAGTTTTGGTTTCACCCTCTGAGGACCCTTGTTTTATCCTCTGGGTCAAACTATTTTTTTCCATAAGAAATGGCCTGTGGTTGCAATTAAGTAGACTTCCCTGCATCCTACCTGCCTGTAAAAAGTTGGAGAGGAGGGTGTTTTGAAAGTCCACTTCACATTTCATACTGTCATTGTCTCTTTTGCTCCAAACTGATAAAATGCCATTAAAAACACTGTGGATGTTCTATGTCTCAATGTATGAATCCATCAAATAAAAGACATGTCCCAAACTCTCTTAAAGATCAGCTGTTCTCTTACCTTGGGCTTCCTATGAGATTGCTGTGACAACAATGCTTTTAAGATCCCTTAAAAACCTATCATTTAACAGAGAGGCTATGCAAGAGATGTCCTTAAGATCCTTAGAAGGCTGTTTGTTTATCTGAAAGGCTTATGAAGCATCTCCTTAAATTTTTCTGAGGTTTTCACTGACAGTTTTAAAGTTACACCTTTGGCTTCATCTTTATCCTAAGAAGTATTTCTGATAGTATGCTGGATTTTATTTTTCTCTAGGATTCTTTCTTACTTTGAAAAAAGTTTTTTTGCTGAATGAAAGAGACAGGGAATGAGAAACAATTTTGTTTTGAACCCAGTAAGTCCTGGCTTCTTTATATTTTCCTGAAACTTTGCTTGAAAATACAAATAGCTTTTTCTTTCTTTCTTTTTTTCTCACTCTTCTCTCACCATATCTCCTTATACACAGATAAAAGAAATCAAAGAGTACTTTCAAAATCTGCCTGAAATTTTTCTTAGCCAAATCCATCAGTTAATTAGATAAATAATATATTTTTTCACATCAGCACATATGACAGTGTTACTAAAATTTCTTCTACTACAGAACAAGGGTCATTTTATTTTCCACTCTCTAATAACAATTTCTTCTCTGTCTTTACAGCCTTAACCACCAGCCTACCTGAAGCTTTCCAGACTATGAATAATCTCCTCAAATCTCTTTTTGTTTTAATTAACGTACTGACTTGCATAACTGACATTAAAGGGCTTTTCAGCTTATACCAGCTGTCCAGTTCTACAGCAAATACCATATGCTTTAAGATTTTTACAACAGCAGAACCCCACTTGTGGGACAAAATTCATCTTCCAGTTAGTAATTCTCTATAATAATAAACTTGGTAGCTTAAACTGATTATTTTGTTATGGTCACAGATTTGCTGGGACAGTGTCTTAGTTTGGGTTGCTATAACAGAATATCATAGACTCAGTAGCTTAAATGGCAGAAATTAGTTTCTCATAGCTCTGGAAGCTGGAAAGTCCAAGATCAGGGAGCTAGTACATCCAGTGTCTGATGAGAGCCTGCTTCCTGGTTTGCAGATGGTCGTCTTCTCATTGCATCTTCACAACGCACAGACAAGAGGGAGGAGGCAAACTCTTGTTTCTCTTTTATAGGGTCACTAATCTCACAAGAAGGCTCCACCCTCATGAAAAATTACCATCCAAAGGCCCCACTTCCTAATGCTATGCATACACATATTCCACATGATTTCAACATACGAATCTTGGGAGGACAAACATACAGTCAGTAACAGACAGGAATTAGTACAGGGCTCAGCAAGAATGGTTGATCTCTGGCCCAAATTGTCTAGGGTATCAGATAGGAAGCCACAATGGTGGATATGACTTACACCTGTGACTAAAATCACCTGCCAGCTGATTGGTGCCTGGCTTGGGATGAATTGAATAATGGGAATCCCAACCAGTGTGCTTACATGTGGCCTTTCTATATTGCTTGGCTTCTTCATAGCACAGCAGCCTCAGTGCTGATGAACTTCTTACAGGGAAGCCTGAAACCCCAAGTGGGAATATTTCAGGAGACAAAGAAGAAGTTGCACTGTCTCTTATGATGAAGGCTTGAAAGTTCCATTGGATCATGTGGGACTGTTGGTTGAAATTGTTGCAAACCTATCCAGATTACAGAGGAAGGAAATTAAGTCAAGTCTTAATAGAGGTCACAGGTTGAATGGAAGACATTATTGCAACCATATTTGAAAAATATAATTAGCCACACTCATAAAAAAATTAGTCAAGTATATAGCTAAGTAATCAATTAACTTATCCATATCAAATGTGCATACACACACCTACACACACACCTACACACACAAACACACCATGCATTTGACATGATGTATGTTGCTCCTGGTATATGAATATGATTCATGTTCACATTATTTGAAAAAGTTTGCAGTTTAGTTTAGATCTTCTTATGTCAATCAATTGTGGAAAATGTCAATGAAAAATTATCATGACATCATATAATAATCAATAATTTCAATGTAGTACTTTAAAGTAGCCAAGAATATGAGATTTGTGGTTCTAAGTCTGTTCTGAAGCTATGAAAGCTTAATCAATATACTCAGACTCTTAAAGCTTCAGGGTTTATTTTGAACAAATTTATTGACATATAATTTATTTAGACTAGACTGCACCTATTATAGGTTAAAATTTGATGAGTTTTGACAGATATATACAAACAAAACCAGTGAAATATACACCCAATGAAACCAATGTCACAACCAAAACGTTTCCATCACCACCTAAAATTTCCTTGGGCCACTTTTCAATTTACCATTTTTTCCACCCCTGGTTCCATGCAGCCACTGTTCTACTTTTAATAACCATAGATTAATTCCCATTTTCTAGAATTTTAATAGTCTTACAGTACTTAATTTTTGCATCAGACTTCATTTAATTAGCATGATTTTTTAGTTGAATCAATGTAGCTGTGTGTATTCATATTTTATTCCTTTTTATTGCTGAGTAGAGTCCCACTTTATAGATAGAGCTCATTTTGTATATCCATAAATGGAGCCATTGGGTTGGGGCTACCCTGAGACCCCAGCCTGTTGGAGCCACTGGCATGCAAGTTTAGTACCTGAGAGCCACATGTGTTGGACTCCAACCCCTGAGAGCTGCAGCAAGGGCTGTAACCATGAGGGTGGGGTTGCCTGAAGACTTAGCAGCCCAACCTCCAGCCCAGGTAAAAAATGGAGTCAAATACAATTATTCTCAATCTTTTTGACTGAGTGTTTTTCCCCCTATTGAGCTTTGGGCTTACTTGCAACTCATTACCCTTTCTTCTTTCCTGTATCTCCCTTTTGGAGTGGGAATGTCTATCTTATGCCTGTCCCTCCATTGTATTTTGGAAACACATCACTTGTTTTATTTTACAGACTCAGAGTTAGAAGGGAATTTGCCTCCAGATGGGTACCAACTTGAGTTTCACAGACATTCAATTTAGATGGTATTTAGATGAAACTATTGGACTTTAAGCGTTTGTTATTGGTATGAATTAAGACTTTTGGGGCTATTGCGATAGAATTAATGCATTTTTCATGTAAGAAGGACATGAATCTTAGGGAGAGGGGCGGGGATTAAATGGTATGGCCTGAAAATATCCCCTAAAACCCATAAGTTGAAATTTAATCCCTAGTGCAGTGGTGTTGGGACATGGGGCATCTGGAAAGTGATTAGTTTATAGGAACAGAGCCCTCATAATTGGGATTAGTGGCCTTATAAATGAGGCCCTAGAGAGCTTTTTTTTTGTCTCTTCTGCCATGTGAGGACACTAGGAAGGCACTATCTATCAGGACAAAGCTCTCACAGGCATTGAATCTGTGGTGCCTTGATCTTGGACTTCCCAGCCTCCAGAGATGTCAGCAATAAATTTGTATCATTTGTAAATTATCCAGTCTAAGATCATTTTGTTATAGCAGCCCAAATGAACTAAGGTAGTAAACCGATTGATGGCCATTTGAATTATTTCCAGTTTGGGTTATTATAAATAAAGATGCTATGAAAATTCATATCAAATCCTTGTGTTGATGTATATTTTCATATCTTTTGGGTAAATATCTAGTTGTAGAATGGCTGGATTACATGATAGGTATATGTTTAACTTCTAAAAAAAACTACCAAACTGTTTTCCAAAGTGCTGATCCTGTTTTTATGTTACTACCAGCTGTGTATGGGCATTCTTGTTGTGTAAAATATGGAATATATCTTAGCATTTTTGAGGAAGCCATAAAAATAATATAATCAAATTGCTCACATAGGACTGTGTGCACATAGGTGATCAGTAGCCAGCTGTAATTTGTTCAGTCAGACTATAGGTGGTATAATTATCAACGGATGAAAATTCAAAGACAAGAAAGATGCAAATGGGCTGGGGCAAATCAAAATGTCTTCAGGGGGAGTTGGAAATGGAAGTAATTATTGAATGATAAATAAGACATGGATTAGTGGAAAGGGGGAGTCAAACATTGCATGAAAGCATTTCTATTAAACTAATGACTCAAATGAAAATATAGGCAAAGACACATAGCCAAGTCTTAACCACGGATTCCTTCAGGAAAGTGAAATGTAGAAGTGGGAGTAGCAATATAATGATGAAGAAACTTCATTTTTTAATTTTTTTTTTTTTGAGACAGAGTTTCACTGTTGTTGACCAGGCTGGAGTACAATGGCGGGATCTTGGCTCGCTGTAACTTCTGCATCCCGGGTTCAAGCAATTCTCCTGCCATAGCCTCCTGAGTAGCTGGGATTACAGGCTAGCCTCCTGAGTAGCTGGGATTACAGGCATGCACCACCATACCCAGCTAATTTTGCATTTTTAGTAGAGACGGGGTTTCTCCATGTTGGTCAGGCTGGTCTCAAACTCCCAACCTCAGGTGATCTGCCCACCTCGGCCTCCCAAAGTGCTGCGATTACAGGCATGAGCCACCGTGCTCAGCCCATTTTTTAATTTATTTATGTAGTTTATTCATCCATTGACTTAATGATATTAATAGAAAATTTGTGCATTCAAGGAGGTACAAGCTAGACAATGTCTCTGCCCTCTTGGAGTTCACATTAAATTCAGGGAGACAGATAAAATACAGAAAAGCCAAAAGTAATACACATTAAAAATGTGGCATTAAAGAGAGAAAAAAGAGACTGGCTAGAAATAGAGCGGAATTGCATTTTACATAGGACAATCACAGAAGGCATTCTGGATGAAGTGACATTTAAGGTGAATCTAAAGGGTAAGAAAGATCCATCGTGTGAACAGTATAAGGAGTAAGGCTAAATGCAGATTACATAAGATTTACAAATAATTTTTTAAAACTTCAAATAAGAAAAAGTAAGATATATTTTAAATACTGAAATAATTAATTTCTAGCTATTAGGAGAAGAGAGAGCAAGATGAATATTGGCGTTAGCTGAGGTTGAAGCTGAAGGTATGGGTCAGATCATTATCTTGTAGGGTACAGAAAAGCATTTTGTTTTATTTTAGGTACAGTAGTCAACCACTACAGGATTTCAGACAGATATAGAGTCATATTATTTATTTTTTAAGAAGCTAAACACAGATTTCTATAAAAAAGCAATGGAAGTGGGGAGCAATAATTGAGGTTAGAAAACAGTAGACTGGGCATCAGGTTGGTCCCCCCCGGGACGGAGCTCCCAGAGGATGGAGCAGACAGCCACCTTTGCTGTTATGCAGCCTCCACTGGTGACACCTCCATATGTGGCAGGGACCCTGGGGAATAGGGTCTGGAGTGGACCCCCAGCAAACTGCAGCAGTCTTATGGAAGAAAGCCCTGAGGTTTTTATTTTTAGAAGAAAAACAAACAGAAAGCAACAACAACAACAACAACAACAAAAAGACCCCACAAAAACCCCATCCAAAGTTCAGCAGCCTCAAAGATTGAAGGTAGATAAGCTTATGAAGGTGGGAAAGAATCAATGGAAAAATGCTGAAAACTCAAAAAGCCAGAGTACCTCTTCTTCAAATGATTGAACACTTTTCCAGCAAGGGTACAGAACTGGGCTGAGGCTGAGATGGATGAACTGATAGAAGTAAGCTTCAGAAGGGGTGTAATAGCAAACTTCACTGAGCTAAAGGAATATGTTCTAATCCAATGCAAGGAAGCTAAGAACCATGATAAAACATTACAGGAGCTGTTAACCAGAATAATCAATTTAGAGAGAAACATAAATGACCTGATAGACCTGAAAAACACAACATGAGAACTTCACAATGCCACTATAAGTATCAATAGCCAAATAGACCAAGCAGAGGAAAGAGTCTCAGAGCTTGAAGACTACCTTGCTGAAATAAGACAGGCAGACAAGATTAGAGAAAAAAGAATGAATAGGAATAAACAAAACCTCTGAGAACTATAGGATTATGTAAAAAGATTGAACCTATGACTGATTGGGGTATCTGAAAGAAATGGGGAGAATGGAACCAAGTCGGAAAACATACTTCAGGATATCATCCAGAAGAACTTCCTCAACCTAGCAAGACAGGCCAACATTCAAATTCAGGAAATTCAGAGAACCCCAGTAAGATACTCCATGAGAAAGAAGATCAACCCCTGACCCATAATCATCAGATTCTCCAAGGTCAAAACGAAGGAAAAAATGTTAAGAGCAGCCAGAGAGAAAGGCCAGGTCACTGCAAAGGGAAGCCCATCAGACTAACAGCAACCCTGTCAGTGGAAACCCTACAAGCCAAAAGTGATTGGAGGCCAATATTCAACATTCTTAAAGAATTTCCAAACCAGAATTTTATATCTGGCCAAACTAAGCTTCATAAGTGAAAGAGAAATAAAATCCTTTACAGACAAGAAGATACTGAGTGAATTCATCACCACCAGGCCTGCCTTGCAAGAGCTCCTGAAGGAAACCCTAAATATGGAAAGGAAAAACCATTACCAGCAACTGCAAAACACACTGTAGTACACAGACCAATGACACGATGAAGTAACTACATTAACAAGTTTGCAAAATAACCAGCTAGGTTCATGATGACATGATCAAATTCATACATAACAATATTAATCTTAAATGCAAATAGTCTAAATGCCCCAATTAAAAGCCCCAGAATGGCAAGCTGGATAGTCAAGACCCAATGTCCTGTATTCAAGAGACCCATCTCATGTGCGAAGACACACAGACTCAAAATAAAAGGATGAAGGAAAATTTACCAAGGAAATGGAAAGCAAAATAAAGCATGTGTTGCAATCTTCATTTCTGACAAAACAGACTTTAAACCAACAGAGATTTAAAAAGACAAAGAAGGGCATTACATAATGGTAAAGGGTTCAATTCAACAAGAAGAGCTAACTATCCTAAATATATATGCATCAATATGCTCCAATATAGGACCACCCAGATTCATAAAAAAGTTCTTAGAGATCTACAAAGAGACTTAGACTCCCACACAATAATAGTGGGAGACTTTAACACCTCATGTCAATATTAGACAGATCATCGAGACAGAAAATTAACAAAGATATTTAGGACTTGAACTCAGCTCTGGATCAAGTGGACCTAACAGACATCTACAGAACTCTTTACCAAATGCAACAGAATATACATTCTTCTTGGTGTCACATGGCACTTACTCTAAAACTGATCACATGATTGGAAGCAAAACACTCTCAGCAAACACGAAAGAACTGAAATCATAATGAACAGTCTCTCAGGCCACAATGCAAACAGATTAGAACTGAAGATTAAGAAACTCACTTGAAACCACACGACTACACGGAAACTATACGACCTGCTCCTGAATGACTCCTGGGTAAATAATGAAATTAAGGCAGAATTCAGGAAGTTCTTTGAAACCAAGAACAAAGAGACAATGTACCAGAATTTCTGGACTACAGCTAAAGCAGTGCTAAGAGGGAAATTCATAGCACTAAATGCCAACATCATAAAGCTAGAAAGATCTAAAATTGACATCCTAACATCACAACTAAAAGAACTAGAGAACCAGGAGCAAACAAACTCCAAAGCTAGCAGAAAACAAGAAATAACTAAGATCAGAGTGGAACTGAAGGAGATAGAGACACGAAAAACCCTTCAAAAAAATCAACAAATCCAGGAGCTGGTTTTTTGAAAAAATTAATAAAATAGATAGACTGCTAGCTAGACTAATAAAGAAGAAAGGAGAGAAAAATCAAATAAACACAATAAGAAACGATAAAAGGGATATCACCACTGACCCCACAGAAATACAAACGACCATCAAAGAATACAGTACACACCTCTAGGCAAATTCACTAGGAAATCTAGACAAAATGGATGAATTTCTGGACAACTACACACTCCCAAGACTGAACCAGAAAGAAGTTGAATCTCTGAATAGACCAATATCCCTGAAATAGAGGCAATAATAAATAGACTACCAACCAAAAATGCCCAAGACCAGATAGATTTATAGCTGAATTCTACCAGAGGTACAAAGAGGAGGTGGTACCATTACTTTTGAAGCTATTCCAGACTATTGAAAAGAGGAGATTTCTTCCTAGCTCATTTTATGAGGCCAGCATCATCCTGGTACTAAAACCTGGCAGATATACAACAAACAAAGAAAACTTCAGGCCAATATCCCTGATGAAACTTAATGCAAAATACTGGCACACTGAATCCAGCAGCACATCAAAAATCTTATCCACCACGGTCAAGTCAGCTTCAACCCAAAAGCTGGATCAACATATGCAAATCAATAAACACAATTCATAAACGGAACTAAAGATGAAAACCACATGATTATCTCAATAGATGCAGAAAAAGTCTTTGATAATATTTAACACTTTTTCTTGTTAAAAACTCTCAATAAACTAGGTAATGAAGGAACATATCTCAAAATTATAAGAGCCATTTATAACAAACCCACAGCTAATATCATACTGAATGGGCAAAAAAAAAACCTGGAAGCATTCCCCTTGAAAAGGGGCCCAAGATAAAAATGCTTCTCTTACCACTCCTATTCAATATAGTATTGGAAGTTCTGGCCAGGGAAATCAGGCAAGAGAAAGAAATAAAAGGTATTCAAATAGGAAGTCAAACTGTCTTTGTTTGCAGATGACATGATCCTATATGTAGAAAATCCCATCGTCTCAGCCCAAAAGCTTCTTAAGCCGATAAGCAACTTCATCAAAGTCTCAGGATACAAAATCAATGCGAAAAAAATCACAAGCATTCCTAAACACCACCAACAGACAAGCAGAGAGCCAAATCACTAATGAACTCCCATTCACAATTGCTACAAAGAGAATAAAATACCTAGGAATAGAGCTAACAAGGAAAATGAAGGACCTCTTCAAGGAGAACTACAAACCACTGCTCAAGGAAATGATAGAGGACACAAACAAATGAAAAAACGTTCCATGCTCACGAGTAGGAAGAATCAGTATCGTGAAAATGGCCATACTGCCCAAAGTAGTTTATAGATTCAATGCTATTCCTATTAAACAAACATTGACATTCTTCACAGAATTAGAAAAAAACTATTTTAAAATTCATATGGAACCAAAAAAGAGCACGTATAGCCAGGACAATCCTAAGCTGGAGGTATCATGTTACCCGACTTCAAACCATAGTAACCAAAACAGTATGGTGCTGGTATAAAAACAGACACATCGACCAATGGAACAGAATAGAGAAGTCAGAGATAAGACGGCACACCTACAACCACCTGATCTTTGACAAATCTGACAAAAACAAGCAATGGGGGAAGTGTTCCCTATTTAAAAACAGGTGCTAGGAGAACTGGCCAGCCATACACAGAAAATTAAAACTGGAACCCTTTCTTACACCTTATACAAAAATTAACTCAAGATGGATTCAAGATTGAAATGTAAAACCCAAAACTATAAAAACCCTAAAGAAAATCTAGCCAATACCATTCAGGACATAGGCGTAGGTGACGATTTTATAATGAAGATGTCAAAAACTACTGCAACAAAAGTAAAAATTGACAAATGGGATCTAATTAAACTAAAGAGCCTCTGCAAGCAAAAGAAACTATGATCAGAGCAAACAGATAACCCACAGAATGGAAAAAAAAAATTGCAATCTAGCCATCTGACAAAGGTCTAATATCCAGAGTCTAGAAGGAACTTAAACAAATTTGCAAGAAAAAAAAAACAACCCCATTAAAAAGTGGGCAAGACATGAATAGACACTTCTCAAAAGAAGACATTTATGTGGCCAGGAAACATTAAAAAAAAGTCAACATCACTGAGCATTAGAGAAATGCGAATAAAAATCACAATGAGATACTATCTCACACCAGTCAGAATGGCGATTATTAAAAAGTCAAGAAACAACAGCCGCTGGCAAGGCAGCGAAGGAATAGGAACGCTTTTACACTGTTGGTGGAAATGTAAATTCGTTCAACCATTGTGCAAGACAGTGTGGTGATTCCTCAAAGACCTAGACCCAGAAATACCATTTGACCCAGCAATCCCATTGACTGTGTATATACCCAAAGGAATATAAATCATGCTACTATAAAGACACATGCTCGTATATGTTCACTGCAGCACTATTCACAATAGCAAAGACATGGAATCAATCCAAATGCCCATCAATGATATACTGGATAAAGAAAATGTGATACATATGCACCATGGGATACTATGCAGCCATAATAAAGAATGAGATCATATCCTTTGCAGGGACATGTATGGAGCTGGAAGCCATTATTCTCAGAAACTAATGCAGGAACAGAAAACCAAACACCGCATGTTCTTACTTATAAGTGGGAACTGAACAATGAGAACACATGGACACAGGGAGGGGAAAAACACACACTGGGGCTTCTCAGGGGTGGTGGGGGGAGAGCATCAGGATAAATAGCTAATGCATGCAGGGCTTAATACCTAGGTGATGGGTTGATAAGTACAGCAAACCACCATGGCACACATTTGCCTATGTAACAAACCTGCACATCCTGCATATGTACCTCAGAACTTAAAATAAAAATAAAAGAAAATAGGAGACTGGTTCTATTCCATCCAAGAGATGACCGAGTGTGCAGTTGGGTGCAGAGAAGAAAAGATAAATGACCTGCATCATGTGTTAATGTTAAACAACTGGCATTTAAAATACACAGCAGTAAGCAGATTCAAGATATATTTTAAAGGTAATTAATAGGATTTATTGATGGAATGTGGGTGGGGAGGGAAAAGAAGGGACCAACCCAGACTCCTAGCCTGATGACTTGAGTATCTGGTTGAAAGTGGTCACTGTTTGTTGACATGAATAACATGGTAAGAGATATCACCACTGAGAGGTTCAGTAACCAGTGGGTTTATTTATTGTGGATAGGCTGACTTTGAGATATCTATCACACAACTAGGAGGAAAGAATCTAAAGGAAGTTAAGAGATGATTAATGGGTACAAAAATATAGTTAGATAGACTGAATAAAATCTAGTATTTGTTAGCACAACAGAGTAATTACAGTCAACAAAAATGTATTGTATATTTAAAAATAACTATAAGAGTAAATAGAAATGTTCAGAACACAAAGAAATGATAGATGCCTGAGGTGATGGATACCCCATTTACTCTGATGTAATAATTATGCATTGTATGCCCCTGTATCAAAATATCTCATGTACCCATAAAAATTAAAAAATAATAAATAAATAGAGGGTAAATATGTGTTGAAACCTCAGACTTACAGTCTAATATGAAGATACAAATTTGAAACTTATCAGCATAAATGGTAAATACATATATGGTAATTATTTAAATTATTTCAGTAGAGGGTATAGGGAGTGAAGATAAGAACATCCAGGACTGAAAACCAGGACTGAAATCCAAGAAACCTCACACTGGGAGACAGAGCAGGAGGAGCCCACAGAAGCGCCTCATAAGGACAGTGTAGTGAGTTCGCAGGGAAACCAGAAGAGGCTTTTGTCAGAAGCAGCAAGAAAAATGCATATTTCAAGAGGAGACCAAATGCTGAGATGTTGAATAAGATGGACATAGGGAAGAACTTCTTTAATACGGAAGTCATTAGTGAGACGATTTCAGCAGCGATGTGGGGGAAGCCAAAAGTGGGTGTGTTGATAGTGCTGGGAATGAAGAACAGGACCCAGAGCCAATATGACTGTGTAAGAAAATTGAGAGAAATTGGGCAGTAGCTGGACGGGGGCTAATGTCTAGCAGGAGTGTTTTATTTGCTTTTCACTGGGGGAATGGGGAAACATTAGTGCTCGATTGTGTGCTGCTGGAAGAGATTCAAGAAAGACTGGAGAAAGGATGTTGCTGCAGGAGAAAGAGGGACAACTAAGGAGCCAAAGTCCTTAGGATGTAGGAGGGCTGGGGGACCCGAGCGCTCCTTAATATGAAGAAGCCCCTATTGTTTTAACTGTTTTTCAGTAAGCCTAATCTAGGTTCTCCAAGAGAAATAACCACAACCAAATTGCCCTGCAGTCACAAAGAAAAACAAAACAAAACAAAACAATAACGTTAGCATGAGGATTTTTTGTTGCTGTTTATCACGTAGATTCCTCATAGAGATGTCAAAAAAGTACTAAAAATGGCTACAGAGGTGCAAGCATAATGCAAAATGTTAAAACAAGGGCATAATAGGGAGACCTAGTAATGAAAGAAGTGAGTTGGGTTTCTGAGATAATTGTTTCAAAAACTGAGTTAACAGAAGTTCCTGGAAACAAGAATAACATTTGGGCTAAACTGGATCAGCCGCGGTAGCTCACGCATGTAATCCCAGCACTTTGGGAGGCTGAGGTGGGCGGATCACGAGGTCAGGGAATCAAGACCAACCTAACACCGTGAAACTCTGTCTCTACTAAAAATACAAAAAATTAGCCAGACGTGGTGGCACGCACCTGTAGTCCCAGCTACTCTGGAGGCTGAGGCAGGAGAATCGCTTGAACCCGGCAAGTGAAGGTTGCAGTGACCGAGATTGCGCCGCTGCACTCCAGCCTGGGAGACAGAGTGAGACTCCGTCTCAAAAAAAAAAAAAAAAAAAAAATGGGGTTAAAAACTGGCCATTGGAGCAAAAAGCAAATTTAATATATTAAATAATAAAATACAGTGTCATTTAAAAAGACTTTAAAAAATTAGGCAATTCATTATGACAGATTTTTTTAAAAAATATCAGTGATATTGAAGAACATAGTGGATAGTGTCTTCTATGGAATTTTATAAAATACCCAGAGATAATTTTTAATGGGCTATTTCTCAAACTGATTCTCAGAAAAAAAAATTTGAAGACCCAATTTTATAATGTTTCTGAATACATTTCTATGAGGAGCTAACCCTCTCTCATTGAGTTATTGATCAGGAGGCAATCTAGTGATTAAAATAAAAAGGCAGAAAACAACTCCAGAGGAAGAAACAGCTTGTCTGCTTCCTTCCCCTGTCCCTCCCTCTTTTATCTCCGTCTCTATGTGTGTTTTAATTGTTTGGGGATAGCTGGACATGGGGAGACAGAGGTAGAGATCAGCAGTGACCAGGTGGGCAGGGCCTGGTCTAATCTGAGCACTGCAAACGCATCCAGGTCCCCAAGGAACGGAGTATTGTGGGATGGGACCTACTGGAACTGTGTGACTTGGAATCCAGCGTCCAACCATCCCTAGAATCTAGGGAAAGAGGTTATAATTGTGTTCACTAGGCAATGAGAAAACTATGGAATCTTCTTGAGCATGAAGACAATGAGGTGAAAATACTTTAGATGTGTTAGTCTGGTTTACTCTTCACCTTGAGGTGGAAGGAGGAAGAAGAGGCCGTGCGGCTGCTTAGGCTGCAAGTGCAGTAATACAGGAACGTGCAAGAATCAGGACATGGCAGTGGCTTCAGGGATAAAGAGGAGGAAAATCTCAGAAGTTAGTTTCATGTACAGAACAAAAAATTCTGTTGATTGAGCAAGTCTGGTAGGTAAATGTAATTCTTTAGGCAAAGGTATGTGTCCTGGGAAAATCTCTTATCACCAAAAGGAAAGCTGGTCTAAGGAAAAGCAGGTTACATATTCCTGTGGGAAGCTAAGATTGTTTTGCTAGTTTCCTTCCACCTTTGAAGACTTTCTAATGATCTGCTACATTAAAAAAGCTGACCTTTGTGATTAAAAAAAGTTAAATAGTCCTTTCCTCATTCAATTCTGCCTTTGGTGTCACTCCCTTGAATACCTCAAAGACAATTTAATCTGTTTTGGTTAATTAATTCAGGTTCAAAACACAAGGTGCAGTTGCTGCTCCCAATTAGTAAATCAGATAGACCATGAGCTGTAGGTTCTATTCTATGTCCAGGTATATTAGAATGTAAAATAATGGATATTTACAGGCACTCATTTGAGCACCTAATTGCCAAGGCAGTTTCTGTTGATATAAAAGGCAATTTAAAGCTAAGCTATACCTGGCCTAAATTTAATTAATTTGAGGTCCTAGTTTCCCAAAGAAGGAATCAAACACATCGACTACAAAGCATACTTGAATGGATAAAGACATGTTTTTTTTTTTCCTTTCAAATGTTAGTGAAATCAAGAAAAGGTAATATTGGTGAACTCAAATAGGTCCCTAGCTATTCAGATGATGATGATGAAGGCCATGAAGGTGACAACAATGACGGTGATGCTGACGATCATCGTGATGATGGTAGGGGTGTTAATGATGGATTTCAGAGTGATAGACTGTAAGATTTAGGAATCCAGCAATGTTTAACAAATTGTATTGTCAGCAGCGACTCACATTAATGGAGTCATTATCAGAAAATTGCATATAATTCCTGTTATTGCAAGTCCTCAGGATAATATGGCTGTTCTGCTAGGAGATTTAGAAGCTGCATGCCCTGTGTAATTTTGGAAATTGCTCTGATATTGCTTCCGTGGATACAGAGCTCAGAGCAGGCCCATTACACATTCAGCCACGCAAACCTGGACAGCGCCTGTCCACCTCCTCTGGACGGCACCCTTTGAGAGTCACCTGTCTGATTGTCAGCCGAGGCTGGCTCTTGGCTTCTAACAATAAATTCTCTCATTTATTTGGCAGACCCACGTCTCTTGCCTGCATTTAATAGTGAAAAAGGAGTAACATGTTCATTTCACTCTAATTATGCTTTAGAAAATCGTCCCACTTCAAAATTATAATGTAAAAAATTACCTGCCACCAGGTCTTTAGAAGGAGAACTGGTCAACCCTCACAGGCTGCCTGACTTCTTTCAAACGCCAGCACCAGGCTCTCTGGCTCTGCTCATGATACGCTGGGCTATGGCCGTCTCTTAAAATCATGGTTTGTTTTTTTCTTTCTTTCTTTCTTTCTCAGATAGTATCTCCCTTTAGATAAATTCTGGTTGCAATATTTTACTATTTTTAATCCTCCAGGAGGGAAGCGGTAATGTCCTTCTCCCTGTCCTTCACACCGATTTGTCTGTGCTTCTCATTATACAGAGTCTGCTTAAGTCGTGGTGCCTGCTGCCAGTTCTGTTAAACTGCAGAGGGAACTGCCAGGTCACAATTTATGCTACAATATCATAAAATTAACTTTCATGCAGAAATCCTTTTCCCCCTCTTTTATTCATTTTTATGCTTAAGAAATCCTGATGATTCTGTTAGAAGGATTAGTTGTCTTCCTCCTTGGAATTGACAAGATGGGTAGAATTTTGGTTTTAAGAGCAAAAGAAAATACAATAAAAGCTCAACTCAAAATTTCTTCCTAATGATTACAAAATTCTTCCTGCTTTGTTGCACTAAACTTAAAGTGAAAAGCCTGCTGTGGAACTAGGAGGTGGAGGGTGAAATACTTAAGTGGAAAATGACTGTCTTTTACCCAATCTTGAATCAAAGATCTCCATGCCCAGTGCAAGCCCAGCCTGCTCCTTTTTACTCCTTCGGGACCTAGCAGAAGTCATTCTCTCATTAACTGTGATGGGATGCTGTGCCCCTATTTCCTGTTATACCTGGAAGAATCTGTGCTGAACGGGATACATTCCTTTCTTTCAGGCCCCTCTTGAGGCAGCCAGCAGGCTTAAGGCTGAAAATGCAGCTCACAGGGTACAGGTCTTCAACTCTGCATGAACCCCAGGATGTCTCCATGAATAGCCAAAAGGGCCAAAACCTTTCACAGGATTTGAAGAGTGAAAAATGGCAGATCCAGGATTTTACTTTTCCTACATGAATCTTTTACTTTGTCCCTTAAAGAATTACACTGAAACCCTCTCCTCGTATTTTGCTTTTCATTTTAATGAAATAAAACATTATCTTCCTGGATACAAGATGTAATTTTCCATTCTTGGCATCAAAGGGCTTTCAAGAAAGAAAATCCTTTTTTTTAATATTGTAGATATCAGTGAAAAGAAAATGATATTTATTCTTAGAACCAACAATAATATCTCAAACTTAGAGTTGCTTTTCTATTGCGAATCAAAAAAAAAAGTATCCTTTAATTTCACAAATTTTTGTATAGGCCATTCTGGAAAAGGGAAACCTAATCTAAAATGTCCTCTTTACTGTCAGCACGTCTTTCTTTCTAATACGAGAAGAATGTTCTATGCTGAAAGATGACTGTCACAAAACTGATATTATATTTCTGTATTATATCATTCTATTTACTTTTTTCTGAATTTTGTGAGAATATTTACATATAAAAATACTGAGTAGAATATTGTTACAGCTGTGTTTCATATTAAAGGCTGACTTCAGAAGCAAACCTTTCATTACCTGAGGTCTAAAAATGTAGCTGGATGTGATGCAATTACTAACCTGCTTAGAAGGGAGTATTCTGCAATGCTGTGAACAAGACACGTTAAACATTTACCCTGTGAGAATGAAAGACCAGTTCTTTGGGGCACTAATCATGACCATTCTCATTAGCATAATACCACATTTAGCCAATATCTGCTGAGCTTCCATTCCTAGTTTACATATAAAAGAAAAGAGTGCAAAGTAAACTAACTATGAAGGGGATAAGTATAATGTCAATAAGCATACAAAATACTGGCACCTATCAGCTAAGTATATGACCCCAAACTAAAATAAATATAACAAGTATGCATTGTGTAGAGTTCTCAAATGAAATTGCTTGAAGAAATCTTGTGCCAATCTTACCAATTAGACAAGTGTGTCCTTGAGATGGGTTTTGATCTAACTGAGTCTACAAAAAAAAAAATTTTCCACTGGGTGGCATGACTGAAGCTATTGAAAAACAGATGTAGGTAATATCTCATTAATTTAACTAAGTGTTTCTGAACAGGCTCCAAATCTGGTGTGAATTACAAAGACTCTATTGCAGTTTGAAGCCAGAAAACAAATATGTTTTCTGCCAAATGCACTTAAATAGTTAGCAAATTGCCAGTCATTTAAATTATAGATTCCTGCTAAATTTATCCATTCCTTTAATATAATGAAGATATCATGGGTACCTGAGGATGTACTGTAGAAGCAACGTGAGTCTTTCTCACACGCACCACCACGGTGTTGCAGCCACAGGCTATAACTGTGTTATCTTGGGGCAAAGAAGCAACCAACCCACTAAATAAAAACAAGCTGAGCTCATTTTTAATTCTAAATAACAAGTGCTCATTGCACAAGAAATTTGTCCTTATCTGAGCTCCATATGTATATCTTGGCAATTTAAGAAGATTATGAAGTTAATTCAGAAAATATAAATGTACATGATGTATGTGTGTACATGCATGAGTGTGTGTGTATCTTGCAAACATAGTCTTACCTAGTTCTTTGTTCTTCACCCATGCATGCCTTTCCTTTTCTTGCACATAAGTCCTTTCCTGTGCTATTTCTGTGGCTTAGAATGGGTGTCTTTTCTCCAATCAAAAATCTCACTAGTTCTTGAAGCTTTTCAGAGATACTAGTTGTTTCATGAAGGTTTTCAGATAATTCAGGCCCATCACATCATTCCTAATTAGAAACTCCAGCGTCTACTGTACGTACCTCTCCTAGACAGCAGACTTCAGTCTGCTTTGTATCAAAGTTACCTTGTTTTACACATCTATTTTCATAAATACATAGTCCATCCATAGAAGACAAGGTGCAAAATTTACTCTTCTTTGCATTTTCACCAGTGCCAAAATAATGACTTACATTATGCTTGGCTCAAACGATATGCTTATTAGAATTAAACTATATTAAACTCTGGTTATTTTTCATGTGAATAAAGAACAATTAATAAATCTACTCAAGGCTTTTGCATTATCAAGACTTGCAACATCAGGAATCCAGACTTATACAAGGTCTATCTTAATGATAATCATGGATGACAAAGGTTTGTTTCTTCAGGCTAATTGACTTCAGTGAAATGCATGACTTGTGAACATGCATACATGCTGTCCTGTGTTGGAGACGTCTATTTTAAAATTCCTATGTCTTAGTCCATTTTCTACTGCTATAACAGAATACCACAGACTGGATAATTTATAAAAAAAGAGATGTATTTGGCTTATGATTCTAAATGCTGGAAAGTCCAAGATTGAGGCACCACATCTGGTGAGAGCCCTTTCCCTGTGCACAACGTGGTGGAAGGGCATCGTGAGGTGAGGAAGCACACCCTCAAGACAGAGAAAGAAAATTGGCCTGAACTCACCCCAGGATAACTGACTGACTCCCAAGATAATGCCATTTAGTCCATTCGTGAAAGCTCTGCCCTCATGATTTATTACTTTTTAAAGGTCCCACCTCTCCATACCATCACAATAGCAATTCCATTTTAACATAAGCTTTGGAGAGGACATTCAAACCACAGAATCTTACTTTAAACATTAACTCAGAGATTAGAGAGGCCAAGAGCAACACAGTCTGAGTTTGCTTATCGACAGCTTTGGCGGGTGTCTTGTGAGACAGGTGGGTGTCTGTCTCACAACCTGCTGGGTGGTCTCCAGAAAGTCATTTATTCTCTTTGGGCTTTCATTTCTTTGAATTTTTTGACACTATTATTATTCATCATTTCACACAGTCAAAGCAACAAAAAAATTCTAAACTAAATGAGAAAATATGTGATTAGTCTCATTTCATCATGAGCTGATTGTGTGATTGTGGGAAAGCCCCCTGCCCTATTTGGGATGCTCTGAAGTCTGAGACTATTGAATTAACCAGGTACCTCTGAGTGTCAATACATCCATTGCTCATCACAGGATAAACTTGCCATGGTCAAACAACTCAAATGAAAGGACTCATTTCCTGGACAGCTAGTCTATTTCATGTTTACTTTCTTGAGAATATATATTTTCCTTATCACACAAACATATTAATTTTTAAGTGTTTTTTAAAGTGTGGTTCCTAAAGGGCTTTGACCCATTGTGAATGATGACTGACCCTATCAGCATGCTATCCAGAACACACTGAGACACCATGGAAAAGCTGAATTTCTGAAGATGGTTCATGTGGGGAGACTGCAATTTATCAGTGCCACAGACACCTACCACTGATTCTTCTCCATCACCTGTTCTATTAATATCTCCTTTCCATTTGTTTGCACATTCACATGAATGAATGCCTGTTCTCATCATCCACCATCGCTACTCACTTGTTCATCAAAAGGATGATCCTTCTTTATTCCCACAGTACTCCCACCTGAGAACAACACGTAAATCCTGCACTCCTTTCTGATAAAACGACTAGATTTTTAGAGTAGAAAATCCACCTGCCTCCTGCAAAAATCAGAGGACTGGTTTCAAACAGCATAACAATGATTTCATTTCATTAATTAATTCATCAATGCAATAAAACTTGTCATTTTAACTTGTTTCTGAGATTCCAATCAAAGCCTAATTAGCATAAACATTTCAACATGTGTCCTATATTAGCAGCAGGCATCAGGAAATGAAGACTTCCAGCATGGAGGGGTAAGGAGGCAGAAAAGGTCATCCTTGTAGCCAAATGGATATGTTTTTGTTAAAAATAAGCCTCCAAGAAAATGTTACGATTTGATGTATAGTAGCAGTAACCCTTTGTGTCGGCTTGATGAATCAGCAGATTTGCAAACTTTTCATTCTACCAGCAGGGAAACCTCTGTAGTATTCAGGCCCGTCCAAAGATGTTGTGCGCTAATTTATGGAGAGGGAGATTCCTGCCATGAAATGTACTTGGAAACTAGACTAAGAGCTGGGGTAAGCCTGACAGTCCCAGCTGGAGCATGATAGTAGAAACAGGTGATAGCTGGAGAAGAGAGAATAAGTTCTTGTCTTTGAGGAGCTTTCCCAAGGTCAAATGGCCAGCAAGTTGCAGGACTCAAGTAGGTGTCAGAGGGTCTAGTTCAACTCCTTTGCTCTATCACTACTCCATTCAGGGCAAAGACCCTTAGGGGTACTAACCTCTGCTCACTTGCAGTAAGCTAGATAATTAATAGCTTGCCTCACACGCAATACAGACTTGCAGGAATAATAAATAGATTAAATGCCCAAAAAGAACAGAGGATTAGATAATAACACTCACTCAAGGGATGGCAGAGAGGAAGTCCTATATGCATACCTTCCAGTTTTATCAGGACGCAGCCTAGGCTTCCAGACATCATGTTACAAAATGCCAGACAGCCTGACAGCAAGGGAACATGGGAGGTAAAATTCTCCAATGTAAGCAGACATCCCAGCTCAGCCTCATCAAGGTCCAACTGAAGCAGTGATGGACACAGCTCCCAGCTTTGCCCTGCAATTGTATCGATAGTGTGAGGACCCGTCCCCTTCCTCAACTCTCTGGTTTTCCCATTTTTCTTGTGGCTTTAGATAAGACTGAAAGAAAAATTCTCTCCTCGTTCATCATCTCTCAGCCTGGGCTGTGGCTACCAATTTCACAGTTTTCCCTCAAAGCAATGACAGGTTACCTTAGTTTTATTTCTGAGTTTGATGCCCTCGATTGGTGCCCATTTCATATCTATGTCAATGCAGAATTGTCTATTTTTATTTGAAGTTTTTAGAAACATGGAAGAGAAGCCTCGGCCTTTTCCTTTAAATAACTGCTCCGACAGCTTTATGGATGGCTAGTTAGTTTCTTCCTGACCTCCCTGAGAGGTCCCATCAGCTCTAACCCAGTTTCCTCTAAATTCTATATTCCCGGCTCTGGGACAGCAGCAGACGGTTGTATCTTGTTCCACAATCCATAATTCTCAGCTTCAAAGTTCAGTGCCAAATAAGATCTCACATTGTAGGATAACCTTTTGTACCAGCCCTTCAGCAGCAATTAAATCTGCTCATCCCACGATGCCTGGAGAAAACCTAGGCACGCTGCCTGTTTTCAGGTGCAAAAACGAAGTAAAACAGAACAAAATACAAAAACAAAGACCAGCGACACAAGGATCTGAGGCTTCCTCTTCATTAACTGTTCTAGTCAGCAAAGTCAGATAACAAAAGGAAGACCCCTAGGTAATAAGTGAGGAGGGGGCTGAGCTGAGGGGGATGTGTCAGGGACCTCTGTGGGGCTTCTGCTGGAGCAGAATTAAAAGCCAAATCTCAGTCTGTAAGTGCAAGGCCTATAAATTCTTTAAAAACTAAGTGGGCATGGCCAGACAGATAATGCCAACCAGGAAGCCTATGTGAGGCCCTGAAATGACAAGCGACTGGTGTATGAGTATATGGATCCCCTCTCTGGTTTAGAAACAGGACTTAGTGAGCTCCCAATGTGTGCCCAGGAGGTTATGAACACACCTACCATACATAGAACGCCTACTGTAGGATTGACTTATATGATACCTAATCTGTATCGCCTCCTGGATCTACTTTTGTTTACAAATGAAGAAGCAGACTGAGAGGATTTAGGAGACTTACCCAGAATTTATGAATCACGGCACTGGAATTTGAGCCTGGCTCTTTTGATATTAAAGCTATGTAATGCTATGGTCTTTCTACTATGCTATGTTTCTGCAACCCACCCAAGCATCCATCCTTTCTGTCTTCATCTGTGTGGGACACCTACCCTCATGGGAGTACACTCCTCAGTGATTTACCAAACACTTGTGAACAAGTAACTTACTAGAGTTCACAAAAGCTCAGTGAACTAGACATCATGGTCATCCCCAGTTCCTACCATGGCCTACCCCAGTAACCACCACAGAAGGGGATTCCAGGGAAATGAAAGACACAGACCTTGCCTCCGGGAGCTTAGAACCAAGTTGCGGTGACAGTCAGAGATGCATGCACAGCACCACCTTAGGACAAAGCTATCAACATATGCGCTGTTGGTTGACTGACTACAAATTCTTGGCTAACTACCCACAGAGGGGAAACAGTTTGAGTTAGAGTGTCCACAGAGTGCAGCATGGATGAAGGAACCTGAACTGGGCTCTGAAAGCTGCTCATCCTTTGGAGAGATGGAGGGGAAGTGGTGGGATTTTCAAAATATCTGAAAATCCACAAAGCCAATGTTGCTGAAGTGGAAAAATCACAGTGTTTCCAAGGGACAATGAGGAAATTCCTTTGCCTGAAATAGATGGTTACTGCATTAGGACTAGGGAAACAGGAAGTCAAAAGGGTAATGATCTATAAGCACCTAAATCAGAAGTCTCACCACCTTGCTAATTGTCCTGTCTACTAGTAAAAGGAATTCAGCAGGTGTTCCAAGGATATACATAATTATTCATTTCTAATTTATATACTAGCATTACCATCTGCATAGGCTATTATGTAAAATGTATATTTTAGAATATTTTAAAAGGATAAGATACATAAATATAAATTCTAATATTTCTTTCTGCATTGAAACAAATTTTGGAATGTGCATGCTCAATGTTGCAGCTAAATTCCCACCCCAGATTCCTTCTACAGAACTTCCCAGCACCTCCCCAGGCCTTCGGGCCTCTGCTCCTGGAAACAACCACCCTCTTCATGCATACTGCCTCCTCCTGTCATTTTAATATCTTTGGATGGGTTTCTTCTCTCAATACAACCAACTTTTGTGAGGACAGAGAACTTATTAATCTGAACTGATAAGCTCCCCAGCATGGAGCTAAATGTTATTTAGAAGTCTGGGGTTTATTAAAATTTTTTGTATGACTGGGGATCTTTAGCCCTGTAGGTGAGAAGCTGAGTGAAACAGCTGCAGAGGGCAGCGGTGAATTGCTTCATGTAAGGACGCACAGTCAAAGCCTAAGAAGACTTGTAGATAGAAGATATGCCTCTGATGGTAGCAAAGGAAAGCATCTCCCCGGAGAACGTGAGCCCACTGCCATGCTGCCAAGACATCACCACCAGGAAAGCTGCGGAGCCCAGGGTCTGTGGGGAGGTTTTGCACAAAGTCATAAATTCTACAAGGGAGCAAGAAAGAAGCCAAACTGACTCAGGAGAAAGCTTCCTTCAGAGACAGACAAAGGATTTTACTAGCCATTAGAAGAAATAACAGTCTTAGGTGATAGCCCTGAATCCCCCAAGAAATCAGATAAAGCACCTTGGAAGGTCAAATACATGACCTTGATGTAGGTGCAGCTTAGAATAACCCAGTAATTGAAAAATGAAAAAGGTTGTGTGCACACACGGGCATACTTATAAGTAGCAGAGGTCTGAGCAAGAAAACCAGAAAAGTATTGAATTCTTCTATAAACAATCTTCAGTATAATATAAACCATAAAAGTTCAAATTAATTTGGATGATAATATACAGCTCTTTTGGAGATATTTCTTAGCCTCACAGTGATTAAAATCAATGAATATGCTTGTTGTTTTTATTTATTAAATTTAGATTTTCTTTGTGATTTCTGTGAAAGATCAATTCAGAACATTTTCTCCCTCTTTATTTTTGCATACATTACAACTTGTGACTGTTAAATTTAACTCTCACCTAAACCATTAACAAAAGTTCTTCCCTGGTCTCTGTTTCCATACTTGCCCCTTAAAGCATTTTAAACATTGCTTTTAGAGTCAAGGCCAACTTATCCATTAGGCCATAGGTGGGGCACTTAGGGTTCACAATACCTTTAAGGGGCCCATGGAATGGTTTAATTTTCTTTGAACTCAGAATTTTTTAAAATGAACTTTTAGGTTAAAGAAAATGTTTTAAGGTATAATATTAATATATTCATATTTATGCGAATGCAGTTGTAAAATATAAATTTAAGTATATATTTTTTATGGAAGAAGTAGCCTATAAAAGCAAGAGTGCCTACGGCTCAAGAAAGTCATAATGTGCTCCTGTTAAGAACGGAATCTTTCTGAAATCAAGATCTTATCTGTGTCACTCCTCTATTCTGAGAGCTTAGAATTTTATTTCCTGGTAGTGAATAAAGAAGAAAAATGCAACATCTCCTACAACCCAGCCCCTACCTGGACTTCGTCTCACTTGATCAGGATATCAGTTGTATTGATCGACTCCCTATTCTACTATCCTGAGTCACAATCCCCTCTTCTCTCTTCTAGATGTTCCCCTCAACAAATGCCATTACTCTTTTTCTGGATGTAATTATCATCATCCCCTCTCCATATTTACCAACCAAAGTACTGTCTCTATGCATATTCCACCTGAAAATGCCATTTCCTCTGAGAAGCCTCCTCAGATTCCCTTTCAGAGCCTGCTCTTTATATCCGTAGCATCCTTTCCCCCACCTTCTTCATGAACACTTAGAGATTGTGGTGCCTAATCATTCCCTTACAGAATTTAAAATTGAGTACCTGTCATTGACCCCTGGTATAAGAGTCAAAGGTACATTTCCCCAACTGCTCTGGAGATATTAGGGGAAAGGGGCATAATCCTTTACATATTTGCTCCCTTACTTAACTCAGTACGCTGTCTTATTACATTTGCTCATTATAAATGTTCAGTGTGCTTCCTGTAGTTGAGTACAACATAGGCAATATCTGTGGTAGTTTTGTTATCGTTACCCACTTACTGCCATTTTCCTAAATGGAGAGGGAGG
This sequence comes from Homo sapiens, assembly GCF_000001405.40. Classification (NCBI taxonomy): domain Eukaryota; kingdom Metazoa; phylum Chordata; class Mammalia; order Primates; family Hominidae; genus Homo; species Homo sapiens. Next base: position 22,609,207 of record NC_000002.12, read on the forward strand.
CAATACGTTGTGACAAGCACAATTTCCTCTCATCTCTGACAGTTCCTGCACTGCTCAGTGTTTGTCGTGGCAGCTCATTTTAGTAGGTGGAGCACTGGACTGAGAGTCCGGAGCCCATGTTTGTACCTTGGGTTAAGCCTGAAATTAGCAAAGCCATCCCGCCTATCACCTCATCCCTCTGGGTGTCTTTCCCGCTCTGTGGAAACAGGGGAAAGACAAGAACGAGTGTCATGACCTCCCAGCTTTGGCTTGCTCTGGTTTTATGACCCATTGACGCTGGTCCTAAATGTGATCAAATATAAATTGCAAAAGACCTGCTAAGGGCCTCCGGGAGATGTAAGAAGAGAAAACATTCCATATGCCTGCTAAGGGCTTTCTCCATAGACAAGGTGGTAGTGACCTGAGCTTTCAGGATTACAGTCCATGAGCCACCGTCGGGCTGCCTCATTTGACAAAGTTCTTCTTAGCTCTCTGTGTGCCTAGATGTTAAGTCATTTTTACTTTCAAGCAAAAGGAACAGGGGTCCCTAAGCTCCTAGGGTTCTCAGAGCAGTCTAAGGGGATATTGAATGAGATTTTGCCTACCAGACTTGCCTCCCACAAGAAAGTGTCAAGCAAAAGAAATAGTTTTTTATTTCTCACAAAAGACAGACACAGGTTTTATTAAAATTCATGCACAATTCACAGAATGACTCCATAGCCCAGTGAGAGAAGCTGTGTGAGGGCTTCCTTTTGCTTGTTTTAAATCTGTATTTCAATTTGGATTTTTTTAGATTTTCTTTGTTCCCTCCTTTTTGCTTCACCAAAAAAGAGACAGCTGAGGACCACAGGGAATCAGATATTTTGGAAAAATATTCTCTACTAAGTTCCCCAGAGTAGAAATTTGTATAGTTAATCTTTCAGAGAACTCTCTAGTTCTCTGAGCCTGCATTGTTTTTATTCACATTTTCTAGATGTTCACTGCCAACCCAACCTCAACAACCTGATGTAAATCAGACCCCATGGGTTTGCTCTCCTTATGTTTCTAACAACAACAAAAATCCTAGCTGCTGGCCATAGTCATGGGTTTCCAAGACTAAGGTTGAAGATGCCCTAATCCATCATAATGTTCATTCTCATCCCCTTGAGAATAATAAACATTGGGTGACAGGTGAGGCCAACTCGAATTTGCTGACAGCCCTAAATTGTAACAAACATGTAATTAGAGTCTCTTTAACCATTTTCAGCCTGAATGCCAACTAGAAAACAGTTATTTCACATCCACTATAGGTCAGACCTTTACCATGCATTTTACATTCATTATCCCATTTAAAGTATTAAGGCACCCTATAAAATAATTGTTAATTTCATCGTTTTAAGGATGGAAAAGCTAAGGATCAGAGAAATGACCTGTCTGTAAACACAGAACTAGGAGAAGAAGGGACAGGGCCTGTCAATATCTCTGTCTTGATCCTATAGCAACCTAATCACAGGTATCTCTCTGCTACCACTTATACTAGACTATATATATGGAGTCATATGTTACTCTCCTTTGTACTCATGCAGATAGCACACAGTCCCTGTCACGGGGCTGCTACTATTTTTTTTTTTCAGTCTTTGCATGGCATAGAACTATCAGAGAGAGACGGGTGAGGTCTGTAGTAGTCAAAGAGGGCTTTTTGACTGTGTAAGGAGAAGCGGTGATATGCCTAGAAGAATGGATGGGTTTGGACTGGTGAATGAAGCTGCCCAGCATTGTCATAAGGCAATATTGTTTGGGCAGGGGAACTTGGGCACCAGGGAACTGAAAGTATGTAACATATTATGTATGAATTGGGATAGTACTGTTAGTGTTGGATATAAGAAATGAGAAATTACTGACTGATGGGATTAACCTGGGCTCAGAAGTAACTACCTCTTTGAATGCCCAGGTTCTGCTCTTGCAATTTCTGGAGCTCGCCCAAGGGCAATAATTGGTCTCACCCACACACCTCCTCCCATTTTCTATTTCCATTACAGAGAGAAAGCTTAACTTTAAGGTGAGCTCTTTGTGGTTGATATCCTGACAAGCAATACGCATTGCTGTTTACCAAACTTACCCCCACCGACCTGCCCTTATTCTTAGAAGGAAACAAGAAGGAAGCAGAGGAAGTTAGGAGGGGGCTGATTTCAGGCACAGTCGCTGATTTAGAAAAGTCATTTCCAATTGCACAAGGTGCTTCAATTGCCCTATTTTCCTGAAATTAATTCTAAATTTTATGGGTACAATTTGTTTCCCTTAAGTCTCTAATTATGCTTTTAACATTCAATCTTTCAAACTCTAGCCATTAGTGACTTAATATGGTGTTATCAGGAGATAGAGTGGAGTTAGGAGTGTGGGTGGGAATTATAAGAGCAGAAGTTGCACCTGTGCTTGTGGTGGTTGGAAATTGATGTCCCCTGGAGGAAAGCTAAAAGAAAAATCTAATAAGTCACCAAAATAGACTGAAGTCAAGTCTGAGGATTAGTATTTAAGGTATAAGGACAAGGGGCTTAAAAGGGCAGCAGAGGTAATCACAAAGTTCCACTTAGATGTACTGAACATGGGGTGATGGTGTGAGATTCCAGGCCAAACAAGAAGAATGATAGGAAGTAAAAACATGATCAGATAGCATGCACAAGGTATAAAATGCTAAGGTTGAAACATGACTTTCAGGACATAGAAAACTAAAGAAGGAGACAGGTAAGAAGTGGCTCAGAGACATTCGCCAAAAAAAATTAAAAGTTGAATTATTGAATAGCTGGGAACAACCTGCAGGAAGAAGGAGACAGAAGATAGTAAAGCAGAATTATCATTCCATATTGAATCATCCGTAAGCATTGACTGGGCAGCTGCAGTCCTTCTACTTCTTAATAGAAGAGGTTTACCAGATGGCATCTGTACCTCAACAACATCCTCTACCCCCCACAAACACACACACACATATCTGCCATTTGTGCTGACACAATTGGCTCCCTGGTTGTATGTGATTTAAATTCAAATGCTATAGGGTTTTGGGAACAGGGACCAAGGAGACCTAATGTAGTCATGGATGGCTTCATGAGGTAAACACACAGAAGAGCAGAACGCCTAAATTGGACAATAGAAAATTCAAAGTGAGAGAAACTGAAGAGGAAAAAACACAGGCCATGCCTTCTGGAGACTCACAGACTAAAGGCACCAGAATTGGGGAAGGCCCAAGTCCTTTCAGGAGGACCTTGGAGAGGAGATGCAGGAGAAGCCCAGCCAGTACTCATAGGGATCCATCTCTTGGAGTCTGGGAAAAGAAATACAGGAGCTATTGTCCCTATCCTCAACAAAGTCACCCACTCAGGAGGCAGAAGAGGAAATAATCAGCATTTGGTAGGAGAGAAGAGAAGCATACTCACAAAACAACAATGGCTTGTTTGGAACAAAAAAATATACACACTGAAAATAAATTCTGGCCGGGCACAGTGGCTCACGCCTGTAATCCCAACACCTTGGGAGGCCAAGGAGGGTGGATCGCCTGATGTCAGGAGTTCAAGACCAGTCTGGCCAACATGGTTAAACCCCGTCTCTACTAAAAAAAAAAAAAATACAAAAATTAGCTGGGCATGGTAGTGCATGCCTGTGATCGCAGATACTGGGGAGGCGGAAGCAAGAGAATCACTTGTACCCGGAAGATGGAGGTTGCAGTAAGTGGAGATTACACCACTGCACTCCAGCCTGGGTGATAAAGTGAGCCTCCATCTTGAAAATAAATAAATTTAAAAAAATTAATTCTGTAGAAGCTCAGAAAAGTTAAAAAAAAAAATGGATCTTAAGATGGCCGATGGCCAATGAGAGCTCCTCACATGACAGAATTTCCTAGCTGGAGTAGAAGGATGTATAGCTGCTGGAAATACAAGAAAATTAAAACTTTTAGTAAGGACAGATCCCAAAAAAAGATACAAAGTCAGGGGTAAGCATTGTGTATGGTGACAATCAAGACCACACCAGGCAGAATTGCTCGGTGTCTATGGGGGTGATACGGGAGATACAACTGCAATGAGGTGACAAATTCAGATTGTCGTGGGCCTCAATTGCCACATTAAGAATTTTAGAACTCATGCAACCAAACCAGTAGATAAAATTAAAGATTTCTGAGCAGAAATTTGACATTAAGATGGTTTGTTTTGTTCTTTCAGTTTTCTGCATGTGATTTTGATTACGACTTCTCGCCTTAAGATCCTGACCATTTGCATGGTCGGGAGAGGTAACAGAAAAAGAAAGCTTTTCCAAAGTTTGAGACTTCTAAACGGTGGAAATTTTAGGAAATGTACATGCTATACATTTTAGGAAATCATGGAAAAACTGGTCAACCAAAACTCAGACATGAATATTCCCATCTTCTTAGGTTTGCCGTGAAAAGAGTTGTCTCATTTGCACAGGTGTGCTGCCTACAAAGCTGCATTATTCACAGAGGTGTACAATAGCAAACTCACCTGTGGTATAAGTTGAACACATGTAGCTCCACTTTTTCCAGCATCTCTGGACATAGATTTCTCTCCAACAAGAGCAAGCACATAAAATTGCCATCCATAGCACTGTTAGGCACTAAAGGCGAGCAGCCATACATCCCCTTCTTAGTTTGGTACCTAACCACACTTCCTTCTTGACTCACCTTTCAAGTCTCAAAGGAGAAAAGCATTTCCTTCTAAGAGCTCCACAAATATTTATTTTAAATAAAACTTGAGAAGTTTGTAACATGTCCATAACAAAAACAAATGAACAAAACAGTAGCTTAACAAGTACACATTTTGCATCAACATCTGTGCAAATTTAAGGAAATGGCATGAAATACCAAACTGGAAGAATAATCTTCCTATTTTACCGCTTACTTATTCTCTCTCCCCTTGCATAAGAAACAAGTATACCTTGGGATTCACACTTAAAAAAAAATTCTTTAATTCAAAGATGAACTTGAGTATGACCTCAGAGAATTCAGAACTGATACCACGTTAGTTCTTTAATAAACTGGACTCGGCAATAACTGATCTCAAGGAAAATTCAATCAAAACCAAAGTCTTATCTTTCTTCAAAAACAGGACAGTTGAGAATTGAATGTGATGTCCTGGAAAAATCGAAGAAGAAATAACATCAAACTAGTTTGTTCCTGAAAACAAGGCAACAAGAAATTGATGGCATTTTCACCTGTGATTTTACTACGAAAGATCCTGGGCTTAGAAGCCATGTCACTTAACTCTCTTAAAATCCAAAACAGAGATACAGACAGAACAAGGAATGATGCTGGTGACATTTCGGGGGTAATTCTGAAGTAGAATCCAAGAAGGTCTTGGAGCCAATAATTATTAATTATTTGAATAGGTTAATGCTTTTAACTCAAAATATTTAGTCTTTCTTCTTAATTTTTCCTTCATTGGACACAGTAAAGGAGAGGAAGGTATGGGAAATTAAGAAAAGAGACATACTTTGAAACTTCTTTTTAATATCCTGCTTAATCATATCTGTTATGAAAAAGCAGAACTGGCTTGCATTGTATCTCTTTTCATGACTTTATATGTGGGTAGTTAAAAAGCCAATTTCTAAGAAACTAGAAAGATCTTATACATTTGTGTGATTATGTCACATTCCCAAGTAATTTTTAAAAAACAAAACAAAAAACTAGCTATAGTAATAAATCATGTTTTTTCATAAAACGAATTAAAATAAGGCTCAATCTAGTCTAGCCCTATGATATCACTCTTTTTCAGTTTAGTGACATAATTTGTTGAGTAGAAGGAAGTATGGAATTTTGCAGAAGCCGCATATATTTACCTATGTTACAGACCATAAAATAGGTTATGCCTGTCAGTGACATCCATCTGTCATGTGAATCCTGGCAGAAAAAAATACTGCATGTTAACAACATCAGGCTGCCAAAGAAAGAAGGACTGTAAAGTAAAACAGAGGTATCTGATAAATCACAGAACAAATAATTAAACATGTTCTTTCTTATGAAATTTGCATCCCTGAACTAAAAAGACTTAGGAAACACCAAACTAGTTTAACCCACAACAAAGTTTTCATCTAAAGGAATAAATCTTCTTTTTGATTATTTTATTTTATTTAACTTTTATTTTAATTTTGGGGTGCATGTGAAGGTTTGTTATATAGGTAAACATGTGTCATGGGGGTATCTTATGCAGATCATTTCATCACCCAGGTATTAAGGAATCAGTCTTCTAACCTGGACTTCCACAGATCAAGTCAAAGATTGTTTTAAATTCATCAAGCGAACACAAGAAAACTAATATTATTAATTATTGATTACTGGATAAAACACTAAATCAGTCCACTAAATTTGATCAGTGTAATAAGTTGTATGATAACAACTATGTGAATGACTATTCTTGAAGATGTAAGAAATGTGATTTCTACCCTTGAGGAAGTCTCATTTCAATGGGAGAGAAAAGTAGATACACTCATATTCTACTGTGGCAAAGACCATGACTAGTATATGTGAATGATGTTATGTAGAGTTAAAAGAAGGAAACGGACCCCATGATAGTGATCCAAAGATGAGATTTCAAACTAAGAGTCTTGAATAATGAGTGGAATGGCCAGGTGCTCCTGACAGAGAGGCAGCAAGGTCAAAATAGAGAGATGAAAATGGCCTGACATCTTGGGAAATCAAGCAGCCATCTTTTCATGAGTAAACGCCCACAAAGTTTTGTAAAATCAAGTATATCCAGTTAAGGACTCAGCAGGAAATAGAACAATAAAATTATGATAACCTAAGTAAAGCATAATGAAGGGTCTATTTATAAAGGTATATGCCGGGTATTGAGAAATGACAAGTGATAATGCAAGTATCCCAGAATTGAAGGGCTACAAGGGGAGGGAGAAGTAGCTGAAATCCAGAAGTAGAGGCTGCTCAGCAGAACTGCAGACCTGAGACTAAATTTGAGGGTGCAATCAGCCCACTGCAGCACTGCAGGGAGGAAACCAGGAGGACAAGTATTCCTAACCTCACTCTTCTCCCTCTCTCCTGTCGACCGACAGCGCCCCCATTGGTTAAAACCAACCTGGAGTCAGAGGGCAAGGGAGACAGTTGAGGCAGTCTCTTTTGGCCAGAAACCCTCATCACAGAGCAGATTGGAGAAGGATGGAGTGCAGGTCTGGAGGACAATCTAAAATGCCTACAACAGAGCTGGATAGACTGGGACCAGTCCCCTGAAAGTTCATCCAAATTATTTCACCTCTGAAGTCTCTGTTCATAGTCTCCCTCTTCCGTGAAGCCTTTCTAGATCTCCTTAGAATCAGTTACTATCTCTTTGTGATTCTCAGATCTTCTTTTCTTTACATTTAACCATTATCTTATTGTAACATAGATCACAGTCAGTTCGGTGTGTGTTTGTCTCCCTAGGTAGATTCTGAGATCTCCTAGGAAAAACGTCATGTGTCTGAGTCAACTTTATGTTTCTGTTGCCCAGAATGGATAAATGATCACCCACTTTTTGTTACAGTATGTAAATAATTGCATCCATCATCTGAATAATTCACCCTATCGGGGAGCTGGGCTTGGTATGAAACCTACTCTATGCATTCTTACCACTTTCAGTGTGTTCAGATAACTTGCTCATGTATCTGAAAAGAAGAGATTATTTTATTATCCAGATGATACACAGAAGTAAAGTGCAATGTAATTACCCAGGAACCAACAGAACTGCCAAATGCTGGCAGTAGTACAGATATGTACTAGTGAGCATCCTACTTATTAACTCAATAAATACAAGTATTCAAACTATTCAGAGTGAGTTTTAATAAATATTTTCTAAGTGGCTATTCTACATCAGCTGTCTGTGCTAAGCACTTTCACACCTGTGGTCTGATGAAATGGTCACAAGAACTACAAGGGGTTAAGAATTATTATATCATTTTGTAGACAAGAAAACTGAGTCTGAGAAAGACTAGGAGATATAATTGTTAGTTCATAAAAATAAACACAATTTATTGTGTTCAATTGAGGTTGGCTTCTCACCATGCCAGACTGAATTTTTTTCTTAAGCTGAGACAAGTGTAAATGGGGGAAAAAAAAAAAAATATATATATATATATATATATATAAAACACATACACACATACACACAAAATACAAATACATATATGAACAACATATATAATACACACATATACACAAAATACAAATACACATATGAACAACATATATAATACACACATATACACAAAATACAAATACATATATGAACAACATATATAAGAGAATATTTAAACTGGTGTCTCTTGCAGATATGTTTATTAAGTGCAAAACTATAAACATGATAAAATGTACTATTAACTGATTTTGGTTATTTAGAGAAAGGTAGAAAGACAATATGTTACTAAAGAAAGAAAATATTTTCCTAAAAAATAAATTTAATCACTATCACTGTTCATATTCTGATGAAACACCTAAAACTTTGATTAATAAACACTTAGTAACAACCATAATAGTAAACTTTAGGTTGTTATGTTCTTGAACATTTTCTTGTTAATTTTACTATAAATCTATGAAGTTGCAAGACACTTGGTTAGAGTTCATGGTAATAAATTTTTATAAACTAGAAAGTTTGTTCAGTAGCTAAAGAAAAACATTAGAAAGCAAAATAAACTGTGGCAGAGAAAAGTTAAAAAAATGTCCTGCTTTGTGACTTTGGGTGCCAACTTCATTAATTAATACAGATTTTAAATTCCTTTCAAGAATATGAGCTATAGAACTAGAGCCACTGCTGGTGTAGATAGTAAAGACAGATCAAATGGATTTCATTTAAAATATGGTGGCTTCAGATAAGACTAATTAGCAGGATGACAAAAAGCAGTCAATAAAATAAAAACAAATCTTGTTCTTTAAATGCTGGCAACAATTAATGGAATTAATTCAAAATTGTTTATCCTGCCCATTAGTATATAAAAACTTTCCACTCGTTTTTTGGCGCTGCTGTTTTGGTATTGTTTTCTTGTGTTTTGATAGTATATACCTTGTTCTATGTGACCAGAAGTGCTGATGACCTCAGGGAAAAAGGAAATAGTGCACGTGGCTGGGGAGTTGGGAAGAGGAACAAAGGAGAAGACGTAGAGAGAGGCATAAGCGGCCAGACAGGTGGAATGGGCCAGGAATCCAGTACAATGAATGACAACAGCTTTTGTTTTTAATTCTTTTTTTTTTTTTCAGCAGGTTTATCTATTCTGCTTATTTGGATGACTCTTGCTAGTTATTTGTTGCTTTAGTTATATATTGCTACACAATAAACTATCCCAAAAAACTTATTGGATCATAAGCAATAATTTTTTTCAGTTTCTTACATTTCTGCAATCTGGGTGGAGTTCAGCAAGGATAGTCCGTCTCTGTTTCATGGGGCATCAGCTAGAGTGTCTTGGCAGAATTTGAAGACCCCACTGCTCAGATGACCTCACACATGTGGCCAGCAAATTGATGCTAACTATCACCTGAGAACTCAGCTGGGCTGGCTGGCAGAGGCCTCAGTTCTCCACAGCTGCTCCACATGGCTAGGTGGGGCTGCTCACCATATAGTGGTCTCAGGGTACTTGAATTCCTAATATGGAAGCTGGATTCCCCCAGAACCCCAAGGTGGCAGTTTCCAGGTCTTAAGGCTTCAGCATGAAACAGGCATACCATCATTTTTGCCACATTCGTTCATTAAAGCAGGTCACAGCCCAGGTTTAAGGAAAGGAGCCACAGACAGGTATGTGTATCTGGAAATATGCCTCACTGGAGATTGTAGCATGAAAAGTAATGAATACCCCACCCATCTATCAAAGAGAAGATTGATGCTTGACAAGATTAATAAGCTTTCAGATTGTTAACAATGTTAAAACAACACTCTCTAAGAGAGGCTCAAGATTACTCTGAAAAATAAACACCTTTCAACTGAGTTAATGTCACCCCAGATTAATAACCTGCTAAAGAACATAGAGTAATATCATCCCCATAATGCAAAAGAGAATAGATTTTTGCCCCAGGTTTTTGAAACAGGTTTTTTTCATGAAGAGAAATTTACTGGCCAGAAGTTTATAGAACCCTGCCTCAGTACCACATTTCCCTAGTTTACCTTAATCTCAGTTACTCACTCAGCAAAAAAGACACTGCTCATCTCATGTGTGGGTGCATGGCACATAGGGTGCAGCGATATATTTTAAAAGGGAATTGTATACTAAACAAAGACTGCAGATGTTGCTCTCATGTGGATCTGAACTTTCTGAGAAAAGTTGTTTAAGGGAATATTCTCAGCTTTGCTCTCTTTTATAAGCAATAAAGCCCTCCAGGATTTGTATTACAGAATTATGGGAGTGGAAACTGCCATGGTAGGAAGAAGAACAAGCAACCTTAATTAAATTTCTGTCACAGATATTTTCTATTCATCTTAGATAGCTCAGCACCACCACAACTTGTAAGCCTCAGTTTCTTCTTATTTGATAATGGATGAAAATCTAGATATAAAGATTAAGTTGAGATAAAATAATATAAAGCAAACGAGAACAAAATAAGAAATGTGAGGTGTATTGTATACTGTAAAGTATTATATAAACGTATTGTTTCATAATGATGGTATAGAAAGGTCTATTTTAAGCAACTCAGTTACTTATTTTCTGGAAAATGCTTTGACTGATACTCTCATACACTGGGATTGTAGATTCCTAGTGTTGCAACTCACTGCAGGTGTTTTTGAGTGCTCTATATAAAGAAAATATTTTAGGATTTTTACGGATGTTAAAGAAGTATCCAAAATACAAGTGTTAATTGTGGGTGAGGAATGCCACTTGAGAGATGCTGAGTGTGAAGTATAGTGGTCTCCAGGCCACTTGACATTTTCATTAAGAAACCTCTTGCCAGTGGTAATTACCTTAACCTCACCTGGTCATGCCTAAACATGAGAACGTGTCCTTTTTCAAAAACAATGTTGATTTCTTCCCGAAATTATCAAGTCACCAAACATTGACTAAACCATGTGCTTCATATTTTCTTGAGCACTCTGGGGAATATAAGAGACATGTAAGCTATGTTTGGAGTTCTTGGGGAGTTTAGGATCTATCACCACTTCAAAATAGCCTGTAATGCTGCAGCGGGCTGGATAAGAGAGCTCGGGGGCTTGGTGAGCGCTACTAGAGCAAACCCTAGCTGAGGCAAGGAGCGAAGGCTTCTTGAAGATAGAGACTAAATTTCTGCATCCAGGCATTAAGTGGCTAACAGTAGCTTATTACTGTCATAGGTTCTTGAAGATTAAGATGCTCAAGAGAGAGGTATAAAGAAAGTGTTTAAGATGGAGGGAGAAACTAGATGAGGATGGAGAGAGAAACTATATGATTCCTGCTAAGAATTTAAGGCGATAAGGTAAGGAAACTCCAGCAACCAGGGCTTCTGAGGCCAGGCCCAGGAGTTCAGGCTTTCATCTGAGAGGAAACATAAAGCAATTATTCTATGCTTTTAAGTATGGAATTTCACTTTGTCAAAAAATTTTAGAGTACAAAATTTCCTATCTTTTTATTTCCAATATTGCAAATTCAAAGTTTTATAGAATTTTGGTGTCAAAGAGCAGAGGAAAACCTTAAATACTGAGTCATTTTTCAATGATGGAATGGTCTTTGATTAATCATGAGGATATTCCCTTTGTGATTGTGTCTCCTTTCATCTGTTTCTATTTCATACATTTCTGAGATACTGAAAATCTACTCCTTTGAAACCATCATAAAAGATTGCTTTTATGCTGATTTTTTTCACTTTTGCACAAAAAGCCATCATATCTGTGAAGATGCTGTAAGAGTTTCAGCTGCAACTGAGGTAAGACCACCAGAAGCTTGGTAGCTTTCTATTATGGTTATTTGTGTCTTGAAACAAAATGCCTTAAGGATGGCTTCTCTAAGAATTTCAGTACAAGGGTAAACAATTACTGAGTCAGGTGATCACCAAGTGAATGAAAAAATGTAAAGAGAATTATGTCTCATGCCAGGGTTTGCTTGGATGTGAATTATGAAAACAGTTAACTTCTGATTTTTTGTGTGTACTATGAGAATCAATTCAGCTCTGCAAGACCAGGAAGTGAATAGCACCTGGTGAATTCACACTCACATTGTGCTTATGGATGGAGAGAGGAAGCAAAGCTAATAGGTAAATTTGCACCAACAAAGCCTGGCTAAGTATCCAGATAAATACAAAGTCAGTAAAAAAGGTTGTATACCTATGCAGCCCTCTGAGGTACAGCCACATCAACCTTGCCTACGCCTCAGTATTCTACAGGCATGCTAATTTTAATACCAGCCTGGGTCTGCACTTAGCAAATCTCTAACCCTTGCACACAGATTTAGAATTGTACCTGACATATCCTAAAATGATACTTTGATTTTTTCACTCTCAAACCATGCAATTTTGCTTTCTAGAACTTCAGCTGAGAATAAATGCATTTAACATTTGGCTTTGGCAGGAAGAAAATGTTTCAGTATAGAAATATGTGTCTCTACCAATGCAATTGTTAATTCAAACTCTGCTGAGGCACCTGAAGAGAATGGGCATGTAGCACATAGTAGGTATTCAATAACATTGTTATGCTGAAGTCTATAAATGGCCAGGACTCAAAATTGTATGTGTAATTTGAACAAATCATAAATGAATTAAGTGGTGCCCAGAACAACCAGAGAAAGGAGAGAAATTAGGATAAAATGGAGAATGAAGAAAGTAGAGGCCCTAGGGAATGATCCATAGCAAAGAAAGTATATGTCATCCTGTTTCGTTTCTTAAAAATTGAATGCCTGAGGCCGGGCGCAGTAGCTCACACCTGTAATCTCAGCACTTTGGGAGGCCGAGGCGGGCGGATCACAAGGTCAGGAGTTCAAGACCAGCTGACCAACATGGTCTCTACTAAAAATACAAAAACTAGCCGGGCATGGTGCATGCACCTGTAATCCCAGCTACTCAGGAGGCTGAAGCAGGAGAATCACTCGAACCCGGGAGTCAGAGGTTGCAGTGAGCCAAGACTGTAGTTGGGTGACAGAGCGAGAGTCGGTCTCAAAAAAAGAAGAAAAAATTGAATACCTAAGTATAGGAGAGCTGCCTCTCACCCCTGATGCAAAGAGACCACAGACACATGGTCCCAGGATTTGAGTCTAGGAACAGGATAGCAAAGGAAAAAGGATTCGAGTTCTTCCAAACATGACTTGTTTTGTGACAACAGAAAAATCACTTTACTTGTTTAGACCACAGCCTCATCTGCTAAAGAAAGGTTTTGAAATAATGGTGTAGGTAATCCCCCGATTATATTTAAGGACATTAGAGGTTCTTTCTAGGTAAGTGGATACAATAGTAGACACAATGGTAAAAGTACTTAGGGAGCCCATAAGCCTCTCCTATGCTTATGAAGCCAAATTCCAGGGAGGGGAGAGAGATAATAAAGGAAAATGAACAACATGTTGGGCAAGGATTAATGCCAAGAAGGGAAATGAAGCAGGCTGAAGAGAAAGACAGTGCACGTGTGGTGGATGTCGCCAGACACAGGCTGGTCATCACAAGTCTCTCTGGGAAGGTGATATTTAAACAGAGATCTGCAGGAAAGGAGGAAGCAGCCATGTAGATAACTCAGAGAAAATGATCCCAGCCTGAAGGAACAGAAAGTGCAAATTAAGCCCCAAGGCTGGAATGTGCCTGGAAGTTTGAGAAATCAGAAGGAAACCTGTGTGGCTATAGGGGTGAGCTGGCAGGTAGCTGGTTTAGACGGGACACTGTGGCTGGTTCTACTGCTGGTAAGGACCCTGCCTTTTAATCTGACTCATTAAACCTGACTCATTTAATCTGAAGCCACTAAAAGACTTCTAGTAAACAGTAATAACTTCTAACTTAAGTTTCAGGAAGACCACTCTGGATGTTTTCTAGAGAAAGGATTTCAAGGAAGTAAGCATATAAGAGGAAAATCAGTTGAGGAAGCTGTTGTAATATGCCAAGCGAAAATGATGACGGTCTGGTCACAAGTGGAAGTGACAGAGGTGGTCAAAGGTGGTAAAATTCTGCATCTATTTTACAGGTATAGCTAACAGGATTTGCTGATGGGTTGATATGACACCCCAAAGAGTAAAGTTCTCTCCCTGCCTGATTTTACAAGATGAATTCTTGGCAGAAGGGGTGGCAAGTGCAAACGAAATCCCAGAAAATGTGATCCTCGCAGCACTTGAGTCAATGGAATATCCGAGACATTGGGTTGGGTGTAAAGGGAGAAAAGTACGTCTGAGGAATCTAACTTAGCATCCTGCTGTGCATATGAGCCTCAAATCTTTACAACTGTGTGTTAGATTATTCATCAATATTCTTTGTCTCCTTTATGTTAGCAGGTCTTAGAAATAAAGCCCACTGTTGTGTAGTGTACAACAGGCCATGTGGCCATTTGGTGACCAACTTATAAAGGAAAATCAGTTTTGCCCAGGCTGAATTTCGGAATCAAGAAAATCTGATTAGGAACTCAACCCCCTGTTGAAAAAAAAAAAAAAAAACTTGGCAATCTAAGGGGAATCACAAACTTGACTTCATACTTGGTTGCTTTGACTGTCAGTTGTATTCAGATAATTGGCAGTAGCACCATCTCACCATAATTTTCTTTTCAGAATATGCCAGAATTTAAAGTGCTGTTTTAACATGTCACAGTGGATATGCAGTGAGCTTTGACTATTGCAGCCACAGATTTGTATCTACGAGTTCGACATCTCATCTAGGGAAACCTGGCACTACTCATGGTGACTGTTAGTGTAAACTGCCCCAGAAAACTTAGCACCATGCAGGCACACATACACACCTCACTCATCGAGCTATGCAACTTTAATTTGATTGATTCAGATATTTTAATATTATATATGCTATTTTTAAAACACTTTATTTTGTCCCTATCAGTTACTTAAGAATAAATTCAGTTGTAAGTTCATTCCTTCCTGGACAATATTTAAGCCCATGCTAAGGGTTTCCTTACTTCAAAATCTCTCATTATTCAATATGTTTTCTTAAATTGATAAGACTTTACTGACCACACACCGTTTGTTGATCCATGCTTAAGGCTTTTCAAAAAGAACTTGACATTTAGGAGAAGAGACCAAGAACAAAAGGTCAGAAAGAAATACTGAGATACAGGTGTAAGCAATTATTCCTGTTCTTCTCCTATCACCTCTTATGCATGTTATTTTCTGGCTAACCTTGAATTTCCCATATTATTCAATCTGAAGAAGTAAACTCAAAGTGGTGACAAATCTTCGTCCAGGTTGGTCAGAAGTGAGTGAGACTGAATTTTCATGGGGTCTGATTTAAAGGACACAGGAGAGCCTCCATGCTGAGAAATTTCTCCTGATGCCTAATTCAGAGCCTGAAATTTTAGCGTTATGATTGCATCCCCTTCGTTACAGACTCTCTCTGGACTTTACTTTGAAATTCTAACTGCCCCTGAAAATATCAATAAACTAAATCAATATAGATAGGTACCCTGGAGATCTTCCTGTGTGACTAGCAGTTTGTAGTAAAAGCACTAGCAACAGAAGAAAGAAGAACAACTTCCAGTAAAAGGTGGGAAATGAACCCAAGTAGGGCACATGATGGGGTAGGAGAAGATATCAAAAAGAAACCTCTGTCTAACCTAAAATGTGGCCTTCCAAGATGACTGAGGGCACAGGGTTGAAATAGGAGGAGGCTGCCGATTGAACACTGGATTTGGCAAGATAAAGGTAGTCAGTGACATTGTTAAGTACAGTGGTGGGAATGAAAGAGCAAATAGAATGGATTGAAGTGAGAATGGGACATTTCATTTTCCTAGTAAAATGAAATAAATGGGAAGCAGCCAACAGCAGGCATCCTTTCATCAGTCTTCAATCACCGTTGCTTACACATGCCTGGGATCTTTGCACTGTATGACTACCAGAATTCAAAAAGATCCAACTACTTTGATTAAATACTGTGCCCACGGACATAAAATGAAAAATTAGGACTAGAGGGTTAAAGGAAGAACTGGGAAAGATGATGTAAAGACCCATTCAAGAAGTTTAACTGTAAAACACAAAGAACAATTGAATGATTACTTGAAAAGTTTAAGTGAAGGTGTGTGTGTGTGTGTGTGTGTGTGTGAGAGAGAGAGAGAGATTATTTTCTATTCCCAATAAAAATAATATCTGGAATGTAATGAACATTGAGTTTATTATTTTGTTTTTTGATCCATGCTTAAGGCTTGCATTCCAGGTAAAAGCCTGTTTTCATGTATTAGCTCATTTAAGACTTAAAACAACCATACGAGGAAGGCACTATTATCCCCATTTTACAGAAGGAAAATGGAAGCACAGAAAGATTATCAACTTATCAAAGGTCACAAAGAAAGAATGTGGGGAAAGAATTGAGATTTTATTCCAGGTGGGTGACAGTTAATTGTTATGGTTTGTTAAGAAATTAGTAGCTCCCACAACCTTTTAAAATATTCTCTATGTCAGTACTAAAACATTATGCTGTTATTTATATACTTCTATGTCTGTGTTTCTATTTCTCTATCTTATGTAATTCTTAAGTGTAGGTACTCACTGCCTTTTGTCCTTTCAAGAGCTTAAACAACGCCTGGTATATGACAACAGCAACAACAACAGGAACATTAAATCTTTATCCAAAATTAACAGTATACCAGACACCAGGGAAGTGCTTTCTTCAGCGTATCTTTTTTTTTTTTTTTGAAGAAAAGAAAGAAGAGATGTAGGGAGGGAGGAAAGAGTTGGAAACAAATGAAAGGAAAGGAAAGCAAAGGGAAGGTAGGTTGCTTCTAACTATAGAGGCAATCTGCCATAAAGAAAAACAGAGGGTAAAGAGCCAGTGGAGGAACAGATATTTTATGAGAACATGAACTACATTTTATTTTTGCTCTGCTCAATGTTTTTAAAATTCAGTCTAAGACTTAATGTAAATCTATTTGAAAGGAGTTGCTAAATTTTAACTGGAAATATTTCTTTGTGCTAAATAATCTTTATAGCATTCTAAATTACAGCCAAGTAGCAATATCATTACAGAGCTGTTTAGCCATAGCAGTTTATGTGGAAAGTCAGAAGAAGGTGATGATGCATATCAAAATATATAATAAAGAACTTTTAAAAATCATGGGTATCTTGATTTACTCAAAATACTTTTTATTTAGCCATTTTAATGCATTCAAGATTAACAGGAAGAATGAAACTAACCACTGGGAACTGCAAAATGTCCATGAAATGATAATAATATTCTGTACTCTCAAAGCACTTTACAACCATTAACACATTCAACCTCACAGAAGCCTGTGGGATCTGTAGGTGGTAGGCAGCTTGAATTCACTTTGTGAGAAACAAAAATGGAGATGAAAGCGTTAAGTAGAAATACTCAAGGCTGCACATTGGTGTTGCACTTGGGTGCACTTGTTATCCTTGGAGGGCTCAGCCCAGGCTTCCCACTGTGCATTGATAGGGCTTGAGAAGACCACCTGCAGCCCCTTGCTTCTTTCCTTCCTTCCCCCTGGCAACACAGTTCTTCTCACACAACATCCAGAGAAAATGTGTGCACATTGAAGAATCACAGAATGAAAGGTGTCTGACCTAAGTTCCTCACCCATAGCGCCCCCTGGGAGGTGCTTGTATAGCCTCTGCTGGCCAATTTGCTCTCAGTAGAAGCTCACACTCCTGAAGGAGCCCCTTCCAAAGTTGACCTCCTCTAAGTAGAAAGATGAGGGCATGGAATTCATTCAGGGCTTGTTGACTGAGAGAAGATTGGGTAGAACTCGGGAGCCAAGGCCATTTCTACATTTCATGAGCACTTCTCAATGCTCTGATGCTAAACATACTATCCAGAGAGCAGGTGTACATGGTATTGCTGTCAAAGTGTGCTCTTCCTTTGGAGGTTGCATTTAGGGTAAAAAAGCACTGAGACCAGAAATAAGACCAAGGATAGTTCATGCTTGTGGCATTTCTCCAGATGGAACAAACTTAGGCACCCCAACATACTCTATTATCAGTTCGAGTGCTCCCACTCCACTAAGGAACCCTACCACCTCCTCATCCTCCCCCACCCCTACACACTAGAGCCTATCAGCACTTCAGAGGTCCTTCAGCACACTCTCAGTTCTTTACATATGAAACACCCATGGCATCTTTATGTTAAAGTCAGACAATATTTTTTGAGTGCTAGAAATATGCCAAGCCCTGAGGTACGTGCTGAGGCATCTTCAGGTTCAAATTGATGGACTGCTATAAAGGGAATTACATTATAATAATCCCTACATTTTAAGAGATGTTGGAGCTCAGCCTGAAATCCAGGGTACATCTGCACATTAGAGTCCTTTACTTCCTACAGTCGCTGGAGAGAAAATGTTCATTCCCTTGTCCACTTGACACCCACTCCACACAAGGTACTGTGCCAGGTACACTTAGGAGTCCAACAATATATAATGTATGATCCTTTGGAGTTGATGATACTGCTGAGAAACTGAAATATCACCATACAAAGAATTAGCTAATAACTGAAGCTCTTATAGGAAGAGTCATAAAGCAGGTGTAAGCAAGCAGTATCTGAGGACAGTGTAGAAAGCTGGGCTTGCAGAAGCTTAGAAAGGGGAAGCATTCCAGCAGGAGGCAGGAGTTAAGCCAAGTCTTGAACAATGAGAAGCAACATGGAAAGAGGGCAGGGAATTTTGTACTTTTATTTCTTGATGTATCCTCACCACCAAGAAGAGAAGATTTGTTTGAGTGAATAAGTGAGTGAGTGAATGAGTGAAGATATCCCAGGAAAAGAGCCTGTCAGGTATAAGGTGAAAGTTGAAAGATACTGTCACTTTTGACAAAGAAGACTGCTATATCTCCAAGTCTATGATATATTAAGTGATGCTCATATCAGCGGCGATGATAGGGAATAGGAGAGCAAAGAATAAAGATTTTAAAAACATCACACTTGAAAACAGATAGGTATGCAGTAGCCACTATATAAACGTTAGCTGACTTGAATGAATTACCACTCTGGAAAACCTACACTTTAGATTTAGCTCTGGGTTGCTGTGATGACAAGCTGTCTGGCTTCTTTGCAAGCCACCCAGAATCAGAAAGAATCAGAAAGGAATGGGAGCCCATTAGTCTGAGTCAAGGACTGACTCTAAACAGCTTGAAATGCCAGGCCTGGAGTTTGGACCTCAGCCTTGCGGCCAGTCACATTCCCCTGTCCATGCTAGAAAAAGCACATCCACACTCTTGCCTGGCTATTGCTGGTTAGAAATGCCAAATTCACATTGCATAAGGCCCGGGTATTTAACATCATACTAAGTGGGATCCAATGGGGAAAACTAATATATTATAAAACCAAAATAGCTTTTACTTCTCTTCTGATTATGTGAAAGGAAGGGTCCAACATAGAGAATGGTGATCTGCTGATATAGAAAAAATGTTTTCCCAGGCAATCTCTCCTATCCCATAATATATATTTGTTCTAATTTCAGCCCGCACCAAGACCCCAGGAGGTGATGATTTTAAAGATAATATTGGTTTGTTTATTCCTTTTTAAGTAATGTTTTTATTCCATTTTTTAAATTAAGGTATAGCAAAGTGCAAAATTTTAATTGTAGATACATGCAACAATATGGATAAACCTCAAAGATATTTAGTTGAGCAAAAGAAGCCAGGCCAAAAAAAAAAAAAAAAAGCCACATAGAATCGGATGCATTTATATGAAGTGCAAGAAGCGGAAAAAGTAATTCATAGTGATTTGTTTTTAATTGAGGTTATCTAAACTTCCTTCTCCTTGAAGATGCCAGTGACTGTTTATTTGGTTTAATTTGCAATATAATCATTCCTTCTTTAAATGAATACTTGACATGACCTCCAAAATTGTTCCATAAAGTGGTGAGAGAGGATGGATTGTACTCAGAGTTGATGTTCAGTTTCCTCTACTCCTTTTCTATCTTGAAAAACACAACATTAAAGAATCCTTGTTAGGGTGAGTCCGTCATAATGTCTTGTACAAAGGCCTCATTTCACAGATGGGAGCGTTAAGGGTAAGCAGAAGGTCACAGTGACAAAGCTCCCACCAAAATTCACATCCTCCAACTCATAATTCACATTCTCTCTTCAAAAGCCAAAACAAGCCTGTCTCTATACACATCTATAAATGTGTGTGCCTAGACAAGTTTCAATTGATTGCAAAGTTTAGTCAGTAACTAATTTCTCACAGAGCGGTTTAGCAAGGAGTCCAGAAAGGTAGGAGAATTATCTATTTTCTTTATGTGGATTTACCTACAATCCCACCAACGAAATCTAAGGGAATTTTAAAACATGTGGCTTAAGAACACTGAAGCAGGTAGACTCAAAACTGAACTCTCATTTAATTTGGGTATTCCTACTTATAATGATTTGTTTCTCCTGTAACTCAGGTTTAAAGCCAAATAAAATGGGAAAGATATTTATCCAGAGTACACAGCCAATTTGATAGCTATTGCATGGAAAGTTGTTGACACCACAGTAAAATTCCAGCCAGCACATTCATTTTTTAAAAGATTTTATTTTAAAGTAAGCATAAACCTTCCACTTACTTGACCAAATAGACCACCCTCTTAAGTAATGTGTTCCCGCCTCTACCATAAACCTTCTCAGCACCCAGCCAGGTCTCGGGCTCATGCACACTTGGCGTGCTCATGATATGGAATGTCTTATAACAGTTCCCACATTGCCACGTATCAGCAGGCTCTACTTACATTTTTCAGTAACTGTGTATATGACTTCTTTTCTCACTCTGAAATATTCAAGGGCAGAAACCAAGTCTTAATTCCAAGGCTTGGTTTTCTTATCTGTAAAATGGAGATAATATCAGTCTCTTAGAGTTGTGGAAAGGGTTATGTGCTTGGATTGAAGAACATTTCTCACAGTTCCTAGTCTACTTTCCATTTCAGTAAAAGGCACCATTTACTCATTATCTTGAATGCATTTCATCAGCTCTGTCATTCATTGAAATGAGAAACAATGAATAATCAACACAAGTCATTATCATAATCAACAAGAGCATTGCTATCATTACCTTCTTAGAAGGACAGAGCATCAGAGACTTGGGCCTGTGGAAGAATCATAGAATGCTGAATGCTTTGGGGGTGCCTGACTACATTCAATGCCCCACCCACAGTGTATGCTCTGAGAAATGCTTGTCTAGTCCCTGCCTGAATACTTGCGGTGACAAGAAGATATAATTCTCAAGATAGCTACTTCCAAAGTTGATGTCCTCTAAGTAGAAGCAGACCTTCCCCGTACTTACATTTGCATCATTTAGTTTAGGAGACACTTATTAAATGAATCAATAGTTATTACCCTAAAAACAGAGGTGACTGATGCTGAAGGCTCTCAGGCTCCCTGGAGTTAGAAACACCACTGATATCAAATAAACGCTATGTGGAATTAGCAAGGACACCGTTTACTCTTGGGCTTCGTTCAAGTGGCCCTCTCCTCTCCTTGTTCACCACACAGAATATTTTCCCAGGCCCTGCTTACCACAAATTCTGCAGCCCTGTTTTTGAGCCTGGGTTAATAGTCTTTTAAAGTCTGTGAGATGACCAGAAATCCTGGCTTTGCTGGCTCCTGAAGCCACAAAAGAAACAAATATTACCACTTTGAAGCGGACCTCCTGGTTGTCATGAAAGAAAGAGTGACTCCCACTTTCCAAGCGGAATGGAGATGATAGTTATTTTTATAGATGGTTCTACACATAGATTATACCAACTTATTTTGTTTGCAATAAAACTGAAATACTACTAATAATTATTTTTATCACTAACTCTGATCTTCCCTGGCTCATGGTTTAGTGCATATATATATATTTTCAAAAATCAATATTTAATAAAGTTATCAGTGTCTGTGGCCTAAATTGAATCCCCCCAACCCTTCCCACACACACTCCCACCTTCTTTGAGGATCTGAAGAGACTACAGCTTTCTCCAGGCGGCTCACAGCTCTTCACTTTAGAGAGCAATGCTTCCTTACAGTACTTGCCTCCCCACATGCTAACTTTTTGTTCTGAAAAAGTAGCCACTTCCAGCCGGGCACGATGGCTCACGCCTGTAATCCCAGCACTTTGGGAGGCCAAGGCGGGTGGATCACGAAGTCAGGAGTTCAAGACCAGCCCTGGCCAACATAGTGAAACCCCATCTCTACTAAAAATACAAAAATTAGCCAGGTGTGGTGGTGGACACCTGTAGTCCCAGCTACTTGGGAGGCTGAGGCAGGAGAATCACTTGAGCCCGGGAGGAGGAGTTTGCAGGGAGTGGAGATGATACCATTGCACTCCAGCCTGGGCAACAGAGTAAGACTCCATCTCAAAAAAAAAAAAAAAAAAAAAAAAAGCAAAAATTAGCCACTTCCACAGCATGGATGGAAAGATGTTTTGCTTGCTTCGCTGCCCTGAGCCCTGTTGTATGAATGGGACACCACCCCCACCAGTTCTCCTTTTCTCATGATTCCTCAAACTCCTGTCTTCCCTGCTAGCTATAAAGCAAAGATCAGAAATAATACTCATTAGAGAGCCACTGCTTTTTCTCACACTCTCAGTTACTATTGTCCACTTATACCAGAAATTCTTATAAAAATCCTAACTCCTGCCTTGAATCTCTTTCAAGAAACATTTTCAGGAATAAATGTGCAAAGAAATGAGATATTTAAATAACCATTCCAGATAGTAGTTAACAATCTGCTCCATGAAGTCATCCATGCTTTCAATGCCTTCCTTTAACAAAGCAGCACCCGTGAAGATAACAAAAGGTAGACCATACAGCAGAGCTAACTGCAAAATATGATCAAGTCCCCAGGGAAGAGGTAGGATCCACAGATTATTTGAAAATTTTACAAAATAGTCACAGATTTCTAAGTTGTGTCTATGGCATCTATTACACAGAGGGCACTTCAGGTCAAATGAGAACAATGATGAAAATAACAATGATAATGACAGTAGTTAACATGTGTTGTGCAACCTACCAGATGCTAGATGTTATGCTAAACACTTTGAATTATCTTCATGGTCATAAGAGTACCCATATAAGGAGATATCACCCTCATTTTGCATATGAGGAAACAGATGCTGCAAGAAATTATTTGCCAAAATCATGTCTAGCTAAGAGATGGTAGAATTAGAATAAGCAGCCTGGGTGCAGTGGCTTACACGTGTAATTCCAGCACTTTGGGAGGCCAAGATGGGTGGATCACCTGAGGTCAGGAGTTCAAGACCAGCCTGGCCAAAATGGTGAAACCCGATCTCTACTACAAAATGCAAAAATTAGCTGGGTGTGGTGGCGGACACCTGTAACCCCAGCTACTTGGGAGGCTGAGGCAGGGAGAATTGTTTGAACCCGGGAGGTGAAGGTTGCAGAGAGCCAAGATCACACCATTGCACTCCAGCCAGGCGACAAATCGAGACTCTGTCTCAAAAAAAAAAAAAAAAAAAAAAATTTAGAATAAGGAGATATGCAATGATGCAATGTATTTATTAGCTTCCTAACATGGAAGGACCTCACATGTGAGTCCTAAGCTTTCCTCACCAGCATCCTCCTTGGCCCCAAACCTCTGATCACACTATCACATTGCCAATATGATTGTGAAAATATAAATAAATACGGAAAAATAAACGCCTTATAGAACAATCCATTCTTACTGCATAACTGAACTAAGCTACTCCTTTCAGGTTGCTCAGTTCTGGACTGTATTCTGATTCTGTTATACTTTCTAAGTTTTCATGTCCATATAACCTTACTAGCCCAGATAGAATAATATAAAAGAACAAATGCGGCCGAGCATGGTGGCTCACGCCTGTAATCTCAGCACTTTGGGAGGCCGAGGCAGGCAGATCACCTGAGGTCAGGAGTTTGAGACCAACCTGGCCAACAGGGTGAAACCCCATCTCTACTAAAAGTACAAAAATTAGCAGGGCATGGTGGCATGCACCTGTAATCCCAGCTACTCAGAGGCTGAGGCAGAAGAATTTCTTGAACCTGGGAGGCAGCAGTTGCAGTGAGCAGAGATCAAGCCATTGCACTCCAGCCTGGGCAACAGAGCAAGACTCCATCTAAAAAAAAAAAAAAAAGAATAAGTGTGATTCAATGAAAGAAAGTTTTTTAATCTCCACCAATATTTCAATACAGAGCCTTTTACAGTTAAACAGCCTATGTTGTTACTAAACGTCATCATCTACTGTGTGATTTGTAAGTTATTTAACCTTTACAAGTTTAATTTTCATCATCTGTAAGAAGCAGATAATACCTATCTCACTGATAGCTCATGAGTTTCAAATTAAATAATATATATATATATATATATATATAACAACCAACAGAGTGATTGGCACATAGTAATTTCTCAATAAATAATGAAATATTTATCATTGTATTATCTCATCATCATGAAAGTATAAGAATTGTTTATGGACAATTTATTCGCAGAATATTTATTTTCCATAAAATTAGAAAAGTGACCTCAAGATTAAGAAATCATACCATGTACTCAGTGCAGAAATTTTCTTTGTAATTTCATAGTTGACTGTGACATTTTTATTTATAAGAATTTCTGAAGGAAAATCAGCATTAATTTTACCCTAAAACATTAAATTGTTTAGTTACTAACTAACAGAACATAAATATTTTCCCTCTTATTTTAGGTAACATGAAATATCATGTTTTGATTTTGTTATTAAAATCTCACTATAGTATCCCTCAAAAATGACTGTAATTTTCAGTTAAAATTACATTAAAATATGATCAAATTTGTGAAGATCCTACAAAATTTTGACTTTTAAAAACCATTTTAAAACACTTAGGGTAAGTGTAGCTCATTTTTGCAGGACGCGTAGTCTAAAAGGTTAAGCTTTATGTTGAAATCTCTTGCTTTAAAATTCTGTGTCTGCCATGTGAGAGGTGTATAAAGTAGAAGAAAATGTGTACTTAATGGTCCCCAATTCATGAGCCAATAAAGGAATATCCTATACGCCTCAAGAAGCTGTGGTTAAGATTACAGATGACAATGTATAGAACACAGGGCCATTACATGATAAGTAAGGCACATTAAATGTAAGATGATTGTGATGCTAACAGTGGTTTGTAATATGTGAATGGCAGAAGTGTTCAGCTGCCAGTACAACCATCAGTGGCTGATGGTATAATCTAATTCTCAGAGGATTTATTCTGAAGTTTGCTGTAACAAGCGGTGACTAGGGAAATACATATGGACCATGCGTTGGCCATATGCTTCTGATTACCTACAAAAGGGAAACAGAATTAATGTTAATGAACTTACATTCATTCAGTGACTTTCAAACTTTTGTTTCTGTATACTCTACTAAAGTTTTAGAAAACATATACACTATTTTCCACAGTTTTAATTAGACATCCAAATTTTTTCATCATAAGAATGCATAGTTGCAAAGAATATAATTTCTGTCTAGTATATATTCTGACTGTGCTTTAAATATGTGCTACTTCTCAAAACTTTGGAGCTGAAGAATTATCTCACTCAATTTATACACACAATCTTCTATATAAGTTAATTCACAAACCAATTTTGGCATCTACTCAATCCATCAAATAAGAATTATTATTATTTTTTGTCAGAAAATGCCTACTTCAATTTTTCAGTTCAAATAAACTTGTTAATAAATGACTTCATGACAAGTATCTCTCTCCCAAATTCTAATTCAAATATGGATTGACAGGTAGAAAAAACACAGAGCACTGTCAAGAATATGTCACCTAGATGAAACAGGGCCACATATTCTCACTTTGCTTCTACCCGACTTTTCTCTGAAGCAAGACATTTTCCTCTGGCCTTTTGTTTGGTGCCTCAGAAGTGTTTACCTCCCAGGGCAATGAACTACAGTGGGAGTCATGATAGGTGAGAAATTGATCTTTCTTTATTAACTAGAAGGCAGAAATTTGTGAAAAGGAGGTGGGAAAGAAGAATGGCAGTGCAAAAGAACTTTTTCAAGAATCGATTTTAGGAAAGAGGACATTTGAATCTGAAAATTGATTTTCTTAAAGATGTATATACTCTCACATAGTCCTGGACAGTTTTTATATATATCCAAGTAAACACTCATACCAGTTGGAAGATAGCCACCTTATACAATCCTCTTCCAGTATGTGGGAAAATGATCTATATTTCAACAGTCACTTAAACAATCAGAGAGACTTTAAAAATCTTAAAATGTCAGTTCTGGGCATCTGGAGAACATCTTTAAGTCTAAAGTCTCAATCATTGTCTGCTTTGTGGAGGAGAAAACTGAGTCTCAAAGAATTGAAAAGATGTGTCCTCAATTGCCAAAATAGTTCTTGAACAAAGGTTCAAGGTATTATGGATCTAGAAATACCCATGAATAAAAGTCTATATTCATTCATTTTCTACCTCTCTCTTCCCAAACATAATTGAGCCCCTTCTTGGATCCTGAAATTATGAAAGAAACTAATAATTTGGACATACATCATGCTATCAAAAAATGTAATGTGTGTGCAAAAAGTCTAAATCGAGAAGGGCCATAAAAATAGAAATGTGAGTGCCAGAAACAGTGCGGTAACTATTTGGAGAAACATAATGGAGTCTAGTTTCACTATTATGGGTAAAGGACGCAGCTGTGAATTGATTCCCAAGGCCACCACATTTCTTTTTATTTCTTTTTTTGAGATGGAGACTCGCTCTGTTGCCCAGGCTGGAGTGCAGTGGCGCGATCTCGGCTCACTGCAACCTCCGCCTCCCGGGTTCACACCATTCTCCTGCCTCAGCCTCCCGAGTAGCTGGGACCACAGGCGCCCGCCACCATGCCCGGCTAATTTTTCTGTATTTTTAGTACAGACAGGGTTTCACTGTGTTAGCCAGGATGGTCTCAATCTTCTGACCTCGTGATCCGCCGCCTCGGCCTCCCAAAGTGCTGGGATTACAGGCGTGAGCCACCGTGCCCGGCCGGCCACCATATTTCTTATTAAACATAGGCCATCAGATTAATCTCTTTCCACTATTGCCAAAGATCTCCTACATGGAGCATAAATCTTTGGAGAATGAAAACTGAGCCAGCTTCTGCTTTACCAGCCACTGTCTGACTAAGGATTGGGAATCCAAGACCGTGATCCCATTTTTCTTCATCTCAGTAGGGACAAGGGCTACCCATTGCCACACAGACAGCCCTCCAGTGATCAGCAATGGAAGATGAACAGGGGGCTCTAGAGGCAGAAAAAGGTGAACCCAGTGCTTTTGAAGATGCTAGAAAAATAGGACAAATGTTAACAAAATAGAAAACTCTCCTTTAAACTCTTTAAAAAACAACTCCTGGAAAATCTATACTTTCATATCTACAAAGAGTATGGAACACACACAATGCCGCTGAAGAGTCTGACCTTTTCTCAGCACTAAAAAGGTGACATCTCACTCTTCTAAATTCTCATAGCATTTTGTGTCTGCCTCTCAATGACACAGATCCTTGTCTCCCTGAATTAAGGTTTGTACTTTTACAATGGGCTCTTTCCCCATATCTACTCTGTAAGCTCTGTGAAGAAAAAATCTGGGCCCAGCTCACTTTTGGATCCTCCTAAAACATGAGCACAGAATAAATGATCATGTGACCTAAAATGAAAGGCCAAGAAATCAGTTGGTATCATGCACATAATACAATGTTCAGGATGTCTGTCACAGACCCTAACTTGGCCTCCAGACAAAGATTGAAGTATCTCACTAACATTTATCCCCTAATTTTCTTAGCCTATGCTGGTATAAACTTAATGCAAACTATAATGTCTATTTCCAAAGTTGCTTTCCTAAGCTGGTTGTTCCATGATATCACATGCCTGTCAGGTTGTACTAAAATCCAACATCGGCTAATGAATTTCACTTGATTGCAGCGACAGCCTCAGAGCCAATTCCCAGAGATATGGTTACCCAGTAAATCAGGAACTGCATGTTTCCTTGCGGTTCAGAAGGGTGCTGACTTGGATTTTACCTAAAGCAAACTTGTGGGAAAAACTGGGCTCTCTGAAATATTCTGATTTACAACAGAAGAGCTGGCAGCTCTTTTTCCAGGACCTCACAACCAAGTTTTACTCCACTACCAACACCTAACTTGATTCTTTGTCTCTAATTTAATAAGAAGTTTTCTCTTCCAAATCACTTTCAAATCCTCCAGCTGTGCTTTCCCCTGTTGCATGATAGGTACATTGCCTTCTGATTGAATTATCACCCTATTTATCTATTTTTCTATATTAAAGTCTGGTTAGCTGTTCTCTTTCCAATGCCCTGGGGTCCAGCTTCTTCCTTGGCAGAGCCTACCATTACTTTCCCAGTAATAGCACTAGGTAGAGTCATTACGCTTCAATATTAAACAAGCTGTAGAAAACTTGAGTTTCTTCTACAAAAGAGAAATGAAATCTTGATATACCTATAAAAACACAGTGTTTTTCAGTTCCATTCCTGTTTGTTACATTTTATTGCACATTAATACATGCAAAATAAGCTCTCAAAAGAAAAACTGTGGCTTAGTGAGTGTTAAAAATGACAAAGAACAAGACTAATTGAACCCCACGAGGGACCTGAAGATAATTTTAAATGATAAATTCTCTGCCTCCTCTCCTTATTACTTAAGGAAAAGCTGGTGCACATGATGGAGGTGAGAGTGGGGAAGCAGTGAGCCTGAAATAAAAATTTCCAAAAGGTTATCTGCACGGGAAGTTCCCTTACAGCAGCATTGATTGTATTTGCTCCTCACTGGACCAGCCAATAGATCCACTTCGATATGTACATCACTGTCACTGAACATCAGAGATGCACTGCTAACCTTCCCCAAGAAAAAAGCATGAATTCCCCTGGCTTGGAAGGAACTGTCCGAGAGTCTCTCCATCTTTGGGTCTGATGCCAACTGTAAGGGATGATTGAGCAAGGGTCTCAATCCTGATAGACTCTCAATTAATGGTCTGTGGCCTCATGGGGCATTACAAGGATCTGTGCTCATCCCTTTGGCCTCTGGTCTCCAGGACAGTCTGTATTGCCAGCTCAGACTCTGGATGGTCCACAACTCACAGAAGAAGAGAACTAAGGAGATAGCCAAGTAATTACCACAAAAGATGTTGAAGGGGAATTATTTTGTACTAAATTACTCTATCCTTGTAAATGAATGGGATTATTTCTGGGAAAGAAATAATAAAAGAGAGAGAGAGAGAATTATGTTTACCCAAGTGGAAAGTTTTATTTTCAGTCATAAGCTGAAGCTTCATATCCCATTAAGCAGCAAAGGGAAATAACTCTTTTAGTCTGCTCTTTTTCCTGTCAGTTTTGATTTAAATGAAATAGAAAAAAAAAAATTAAACAGAGGCACAGGTCAAAGGATTTTAGCGTTCAAAATCAGAACACTACTATGGATTTTTGAGGCAGTCAGTTCTCCTGGAGAATAAATGTAGGTGCTATAGGAACCAGTTGACACAGCAGGGGCTTAAGCTGGGCCTCAAGATCCTCTCTCATGCTGGCTGCTAAGGCTCTGGCCCTGGCTAGAATCAGTACTGCCTCTCCTCATTCTTTCCTTGTAAAGAAGGTGAGACAATTTAATTCTTGACAGAAGACTCCACAGAGTGAGGAGAGTCTTCCCACATGAGGCTGGAAGGCTAAGTGGTGGGAATAGGAAAGCTCCACAGTGCGTTAGAGTCAATCAGGCATCTACCTCTGTGGATGAGGCAACTCCACCTCCCACCACAAACCTGCATCTGTTAGGCAAAACACCAGAAAGCAGGTTAGGAGAAATTTGGTAGCAGCAGCAACAGAAGCTAGAATAGGCAGAACACAAAGATTCTCTAAAATGAAGGGCTTCCGGAAGCCTGGCACAATAGGATTTCACTATAAATGCGAGTTACCTCAGAACTCACCATCCCCCTTCCACCTGGTTCAGAAAGAACACCACCGGGGTCTATGCTGGTAGCATATTCCTTCCCTCTGAGCCCTTAAGAATGGAAATCTCCGGTAAAATATTTCAATAGCAATGGTCCAGAGAATATGCACTCCCAAAATGATTATGATACCATTGGCTTTAGTTCAATTTCTTAGGGGTTCCTGATCAATATCATGGTGAAAAAAAACTTAACACTCAGAGAGAAGAAAATTCTATAAGTAATTCCACCAACTTATTTCCACGATGGTAGTATTAGCCCATAAAGACAGTGTATTTTCAAATAAATTTTGTGATCTTTTCCCTTAGGGTGTTACCCAGCTGAGTAAATTAAACACCTTCTCAAACTCCTTCTCTTCATCTCTTGTCTTTTCTCAAGGGCTGTTCCTTCTCAGTCTTTGATATGTTGTTCACCTTGTTCCTACCTATCTTGTCAGGCACTTCCTCTGTGGTTTCAAACATTTCATGCATCATTGCTGCCTACATCTTTTTCTCATATTTTTTGCCTACTAGGCCTCAAATCATTTTTTTTACTGCAATATTTCATGGCCTTCACATTTCATACAAAATTTGCAATATATTTCAATTTTCTTTACAATTACACTATGCCTCACACTTCTTAGGACCCCGAGTAGAGATCCTTTTCTGAAAAAATCTCCCATGAAAAGAAGGCAAGGAAAATAAAATTGTACGTCATCATCATGAAGCCAGTGTGGATAACAGGATGATTCTAGAAGATCTTATACTGACCAAGGATATAAAGATGTGATGTTTTGGGTCAAAGATGAAGACAAACAGGTCTGCACAGATGCAGTTAACCTGCAAAGGAGAGAGTTTGTCTTTCTTCAACATGATTAGCATTTTATTCCTTAGGATCAATCTCAAAGCCTATACTACCAACCAAGAGTTAAATTCTTTTTAAAAGACGGTCTTCAAGGTTAGCAGACGTTGAGATAAAAATAAATTATAACTCAAGGAGAGGTGAAAATCAAGAGATCTTTAGCACAGAAGAAGGAGATGTGTTTTTAACTGAGTTTTGAAGCCATATGGAGAGCTGATGAGGTGGAGAAATGTAAGCAGGATTTTTTTTTCCAGATGGTGGGCACTTGAGTTGAAGAGCTGAATTTTGTAGAGGCCAAAGACCCAGGGAAAAAGGATTTTGAGGCTGCAGAAAATTGATTCTCAAGGTCGAAGGAAATGAAGTATTCAGTTGTGAATGAGAGTCTAAAAAATGGAAGATCTAGGCAAAAAAAAAAAATATATATATATATGTGTATACACACACACACACACACACACACACACACACACGTGACATGTGGAGCAAGCTGGTGGTTTCCAAAAAATTTCTCAGTAGTGTGTGTGTAAAATTAAAAGGATATAAGGAAAACTCACTGATGCAACAACAAATTCCATGTGCTCTTTTGGAACAAAGAAAGAGTGATCTACACACAGAAAGCATACTTCAGTGGAAGCAGAGAGAATTAGTACTCCTCAAAATGTGATCCCTAAACTACCTGCATTTGAATCACCTGGAATATTTCTTTAAAATTCTGAATTCCAGGGTCTGATCCATTTCCTTTTAAAAACAAAATCTTTGTTGGGGCATAATTTTTTAAAGTTCACCAGGTGATTCTTCTGGTAGTGAATGTATGGACTGCCAATGACAAATGTCCTGCAGACAGACCCATGTGCAAGTGACACACAGGAGTGCTCGTGGTGTTCCTCCAACTCGCCATGGGTAGTGAAGGACATTAAAATATATTTAACAATGGGAACAAAACTTAAATGCTAAAAAATGATTACTTGAATGAATACTATCACATAAATGAACTACAATGCTTCCATTAACAAGGCTGATTATATATGATGAGGGTTCTGAATAATTTCATATTCTACTTATTTGATGGTTAAACAGATGATACTTTCTGATATTAAGGCTTTGTTTGTTTGTTTTGTAGGGAATGAAAAATTGCTTTCCTCTACCTTTCTAGGTTCTTCGGCTGGTCTACAAGTTAAATTGACATAAGAACAATAACTTTATGTATGTACACATGTTCAGGAGTCCCACAAAAATATGAGACTCAGTGAAGTGGTCTGATGACTGAGGTTTATATAGCATCCTTAACCACAGAAAGACATAGGGGATTGGGGCATCTAGGGTGGTGAAGACAAACTATGGGAGGTTGAGACGACATTAAGTATGATAATAAATGTTGCCTTGTTTATGCAGATAAAAGTCTCTCAGGTGACAAATGTCTCAGAGTAGCCTCTTTCTCTAGTCCAGATAACTTTACTAATTAACACTTCCTTTGTACATGTAAATTTCTCTTTACAAAATAGGAGTTGTATATTTTAGACAGTTTAGAAGGAGATGAAGAACTTCTACGTTGGCTGGCTCTAAATTTCTTTTATCTCAAAGTAACCAATAGGCCAAAACAGCATTTATTGTGGTGGTGTGTCCTGAGCCCCAACAGTTTGAAACTGATATTCCTTCTAAGAACAGAGTGACCATGGTATATTTATGTTTGGGTCACTGTGGATCTTGTAGATTTTTATGTAATCACTGGGGACAAAATGTTTTACTGTTGATTACATGGATACTGAAAAAGCACAAGATTTGGAAGACTATATACTTACTCTATGACAGACCAGAAAATTTCCTTTTAAAGATTTTTTCTGTGTTTTGTTTGCTGTTTATTATTCTTAGTTTTTAGTTTTCTTGCCTCTTACAAAAGTAAACAAAAGGGACATTTAAAACTCTGAAAATATTTAATAAAACTCTTTTAAGGAACTGTAGATTATAGATATTGTTTTGTATATTTCCAGCAAGTTTCTTTGTGTTAAGATTTCCCCTAAAGTCTATTACTGAGCTGATACGCTGTTCATAAAGGCCATTCTAAGTCAAAGGGTAATGGTTGAAAATTCTTTGCACTGATTCATTGTAAAATGGAAAATGTAAAAATACTTCCTTTTCATGAAGACAAATTGCATTTTTAAATTCTCCTAATGAAGCAGCATTCATCAATGCTTGCTCATTTGTCTTTGCAGGGGGAGTTCTGGGGCACAGATAAGAAGATTAATGTCTCTGAACTTTTCAACACATTGAGTTCAG
Organism: Homo sapiens; assembly: GCF_000001405.40. Lineage (NCBI taxonomy): Eukaryota > Metazoa > Chordata > Mammalia > Primates > Hominidae > Homo > Homo sapiens. The sequence goes on from NC_000002.12 coordinate 22,642,236, forward strand.
TCATGGTCCTTCCCTAGCGAGCAAAATTAAGTCAATATCATTACTAACTTTCTCAGTAACATTTTTAGACTTACATTATGTTTCTATCTATTCTTTCTTTTCAGACTCAGAGGGTCTACCCTGATACCACAGCTTATGTTTGTAATTTGCCAAGAATATGATTTTAATTTCTTTCATCTTGATGAAAAAAGTTGTGGCAAAAGGGGATGAGATAATAATATACAAAGCTAATAAGGCTTGAGGGTTTTAAATAATAAGAAAGAAGGCACATTCTTTGTTACCTTAAAAAATCATTCATTTACCAAACATTGACTACCCTAAGCTATGCATTGAAGGAGGCTCTGAAGAAGCAAAGATAAATAATAAACTAGTCTTTCTGCAAGACTCAAAATTATTGGAGGGGGACAGCCAAGAAAACAACTATATTATCTGTGTGAAGGAAACAGCACTATTCAATGGAAGGAATTAGAAAAGTACTTAAAGGGGACAGTCATTTGGTTAGTAAATGCCAAATAAGGTTTAAGTATTGTACTGGGTTTAACAGTCCCCCCTCAAAAAAAATTCATATTCATCAGTAATTTGTGAATGTGACCTTGTTTGGAAATAAGTCTTTGCAGATGTAATGAAGTTAAGATAAAGTCATTCTGAATTAGGGTGGGCTGTAATGCAATGACTGGTATCCTTATAAAAAAGGCAAGTTTGGACACAGAGACACACAGAGAATACCATGTGTTGATGGAAGTAGAGATTGCAGTGATGCTTCTTCAACTAGGAAACTCCTTTGAAAGCCTTCAGAAACAGTATGTCATGCCTGACACCTTGACTGAAGACTTTTTGCCTTAAGTTTCTTTTTAGCCATCCAGTTTGCAATACTTTGCTCCCAGCCTGTCTGAGAAAATGAATACAGGTATATATGACAATTCCATATATACCATGCCATATTTGGGGGAAAAAGAATTATCTAAAAACTGAAATATTGAGATTAACATGGAAGGCATTCTCAGGAAATGTGGCCTGAAAGTCAACTTGATGCAGAAGATTAAAAAAGTCATGTGCAGGGCTGATATTCATCTAGTACAACCAAAATGGAGCACTGACTGTGATTCTCATTTATTTATTGGTACCCATAAATTATAAATTACTAAATAATTCTAGGTTTTCTTCTTATATATATGGCATAGTAAACAGTGTACACTTTAAATTGGAAGCAAATGAAAGCACTGGAAATAGTTTATAATGAGGCAGCAAAAAAGCAGAACTTTTTTTTGTTTGTTTGTTTTTGTTTTTTTGGGTTTTTCATAAAAATTATTCTAAATGGCCTATGTAGGCAGACAGGAAGGAGTGGATTAAAAGACGATAGGCATTTGGGTTGGTTCCAAGTCTTTGCTATTGCAAATAGTGCTGTAGTAAACATACGTGTGCATGTGTGTTTATAGTAGAATGATTTGTAATCCTTTGGGTATATACCCAGTAATGGGATTGCTAGGTCAAATGGTAATCACCACACTGCTCATCAATAATAGACTGGATAAAGAAAATGTGGCACATATATATCATGGAATACTATGCGGCCATAAAAAAGAATGAGTTCATGTCCTTTGCAGGGACATGGATGAAGTTGGAAGCCATTATTCTCAGCAAACTAACAGAAACAGAAAACCAAACACCGCATGTTCTCACTCATAAGTGGCAGTTGAACAATGAGAACACATGGACACAGGGAGGGGACTATCACATACTGGGGCCTGTCTGGGGGTAGGGGGCAAGGGGAGGAAGAGCATTAGGACAAATATTTAATGCATGCAGGGCTTAAAACCTAGATGATGGGTTGATGGGTGCAACAAACCACCATGGGCATGTATAGCTATGTAACAAACCTGCATGTTCTGCACATGTATCCCAGAACTTAAAGTTGAAAAAAAAAGAAAAGACTACAGGCAGAGAGATAAGACAGGAGGACATTACCATGGTTCTGGTGAAAGACTAAAGTAGATAATTAAGAAGTACCACTTTCAGTAACAATGGACTAGCTTGTATGAGACTAAACTTTCCACAAAAATTTTAGTTAAGATGAAAAAGAAAACAACACTGAAATCATTGGAGAAAAATAAAAAGTGGCAGAAATTGGAAGGAATTTGATCTTTAAATGGAAAACTTTAAACTCTTTGAGATCCACATTAAACCAACTTTTCCCCTCAGGGCTTCTCCTGTTCACATTACATGGTCAATAAAGCTCAAGCCAAAAGTGATGCTCTTAATCTGGTGGAGAGTAAGGAAAGTGCTTCAAAAGGGATGGAAAATTGAAGGAAGCATTGGAAAAGTAAACAGCTACAAGGGGAGCCCCACATTCTGCATTCAAATGCCACTCAAATCTTGACTGAATTCTGTTCTAGATATGCACAAGGCAAGAGCAGAAACCAAGTTTCAAATCAGAGGAATTCGAAGATTTGGAAAGATGAAAGAGCTGAGCAGAGATTTTCAGCAGCTCCTCAGCTGGGGAGAAAAATTTCGGAGATCAAGTCTTACCAAATTAGGGGTGATAGCTAAGCAACTTAGGCTTACTCTTAAAATCTAAGAAAAGCAATGCCATAAAAGTAAAATAATGTCCCAGGACTAAGGGCTACACTCTGCGAGTAGGTACAAAATTGAAGTCACAAAGTCTATATCTAAGCCTTCTTAGCATCAAGATGCCCTACGAGTAATTTAATTTCCTACTAAAATAAAACTCAAAAATATACAAATATTAACAGAATCCAGAGTGTCCACATTTCAGACATAGTATCTAATGTACAATAAAAATTACTATATATGCCGTGAAGCAGGAAAAGGTAAAAGGTAATCTATATTTAAGAGAAAAAATTGCCCGAAGAAGACATAAAAATGACCCACATCCTAAAATTAGCGAAAAAGACATTAGTATGTTAATGTTTAATAAAATATTTTCAAAAAAATGATTTAATAGATGAAGAAATGAAGAATTTTATAAATATGTAAAGAAAAAACAAATGAAAATCCTAGCACTAAAAAAATACATCTGACATAAAAAATTCTGTGAATGGAGTTAGAAGTAGAATAGACATAGCAGGTATAGAAACAGTAAATTTACTGATAAATCAATGGAAATTCTCCAGTAAAAACGATTGACAGAAGAAAGAACTAAAACAATAAACAAAGTCTTGATAATCTGTGGGCCAATATCAAGAGCTCTAACATACATATAATGAAAGTCTCAAAAGAAAAGAAAAGAGATAATGAGGCAGAAAAAATATATTAAAAATACTGACTGAAATTTATCCAAATTTGAATAAAATGATCAACCAATAGATCTAAGAATCTCAGAAAACCACAAGCAGATACATATGAGAGAAACCACACCTTAGCATATTATTCTCAAACTCCTAAAAACCAAAAGTGATGAAAAAATTATAAGAGCAACCAAAGGAACAAAGATAAGAATGACGGCTGATTTCTTATTAGAAAAAAATAGAAAAAGAAGCTGATGGAATAAAATATTTAACATGCTGATTGAATAAAACTTAGAATTCTATACCCAGTGAAAATATTCTTCAATGTTATTTTAAAGGAAGAAATAAAGAAGGAAAAAGGGCAAGAGACAAATAGAAAAAAGCATCAATATGGCAGACTTAGATCCAAACATATTAATAAGTTCATTCCATCAAATAAGCGAATCCCTTATCGAGTCAAACTGGATAAAAATTCCAGATCCAGTATATCTAAATATATTAAATATAAAGATACATATAGGTAGAATGTAAAAGAGTAGAAAATACAAAGTTCAAACATCAAGCTGAATAAAGCTTGAATACCTCTAACAATATGAGTCTTCAAGGAAAGAAGTATCCCTGGAAATATAGAAAGGCATTTCATAAGAATTAAAGTGCCAGCTGGTCAAGAAAACACCACAATACTTACGATGATTAGTTTTATGTGTCAATTTGACTAAGCCACTGGATGCCTAAATACCTGGTTGGACAGTCTTTCTGGGTGGATCCATGAAGGGATTTCAGTAAAAGATTAGCATTTGGGCCGGGCGCGGTGGCTCAAGCCTGTAATCCCAGCACTTTGGGAGGCCAAGGCGGGCGGATCACGAGGTCAGGAGATCGAGACCATCCTGGCCAAAATGGTGAAACCCCGTCTCTACTAAAAATACAGAAAAATTAGCCTGGCGTGGTGGCAGGCGCCTGTAGTCCCAGCTACTCGGGAGGCTGAGGCAGGAGAATGGCGTAAACCCAGGAGGCAGAGCTTGCAGTGAGCCGAGATCCCGCCACTGCACTCCAGTCTGGGCGACAGAGCGAGACTCCGTGTCAAAAAAAAAAAAAAAAAAAAAAGGTTAGCATTTGAATTGGTGAATTTGGTAAAGCAGATGGCCCTCCCCAATGTGGGCAGGCATCATCCCTTTGAGGCTCTGAATAAAACAAAAAAGTAGAGTAAAGTTGAATTTGAGCTGGGAGATTGATCTCCTCCCTTGGCATTTTCGATTCTCAGGCCTTCAAACACCTTTGGCTCTCTGGTTCTCTGGCCTTCTAACTACACCTCCAGCTTTCCTGAGTTTCTAGCTTGCAGAGGGCAGATTGTGGGACTTCTCAGCCTCCATCACGGCATGAGTCGATTCCTTATAAAAATCTCTTTTCTATACACATATACATACATATACATATATAGAGAAATAGACGTGTGTGTGTTTGTGTGTGTGTGTGTGTATTTACTATTGGTTCTATTTTTCTGAAACACCCTAATACAATACTTAATGAATGTAAAGCTAATGATGGATCTTCAAAATACATAAAGGAAAAATTAAAAAAGAAAATAAATAAATTCTAAAGAGAGAGATAAGTATAGAGATTTCAACCCTCTTTTTTTCAGTAATTGATAGACAAAATGTTCAGTGAGGATAAAAAAATATTTGAGTAGCAATAACAGTCATCTTGATTTAAGTATTTAGGCAATACTATTCTAATAACTTTGGTCACATTTAACATGAATATGGAAAGTTCAACAAAAATGATTATACACTGGGCTATAAAACAAGTCTCATTACTTTTACAAGATGGAAATTACTCAGAGTATGTTCTCTAACAGCAGAATTAAGTTACAGTCAGCCCTCCATTACCATAGGTTCTGCGTCCATGGATTCAACCAACTGCACATAGAAAATATTTTTTAGTAAAATAAAAAATAACACTATAACAATAAAAAATACAAATAAAAAACAATGCAACCATTTATATAGCATTTACATTGTATTAGGCATTATCAGTAATCTAGATATGATTTAAAGTATATGAGAGTTTGTGCATAAATTATATGCAAATACTGTCATTTTATATGTACCTTGAGTACCTCTGGATTTTAGTATTTGTGGGGGGTCTTGGAACCAATCTCCCATGGGTACTGAAGGGCAACTGTACAATCAATAGCAATCATCACCAATGATTTTACAGGTCTAAAAATTATAAAAGTTAATATTATTAACAGCTTTATACTAATAAAATCAACAACTTGAAATAAAAATAAATTCTCAAAAATAAGAATTTACTAAATTGGCCTCAGGCAGAAATAAAAACTATGAATAGGGCTACATTCTTTTAAAAAATTAAATTTGTCATTAAAATCTTTTCCACAATGAAAATTCCAGGCCTACATGGCCTCAGCAATAAAATCTACCACTATATAAATTATAAATATTACCAAGCTTACACACACTCTATCATAAAATAGAGGTGGAGAAAAAACTTCCTGATATAGTTTGGGTCTCTGTGAAATCTCATGTTCAATTGTAATTCTCAGTGTTGGAGGTGAGGCCTGGTGGGAGGAGACTGGGGGTGGTTTCTCATTAATGGTTTAGCACTATCCCCTCAGTGCTATTCTCTTGATAGTGTGTAAGTGACTTACCAGCAGATCTGGTTGTTTTGAAAGTGTGTAGCACCTCCCACTTCTCTCTCTTCCTCCAGCTCCAGCCATGTGAAATGTCCCACTCCAGCTTTGTCTTCCTCCATGACTGTAAGTTTCCTGAGGCCTCCTTAGAAACAGAAGTAGCTATGCTTCCTGCACAGCCTGCAGAACAGTGAGCCAATTGAAACTCTTTTCTTTATAAGTTACCCAGTCTCAGGTATTTCTTTATAGCAATTTGAGAACAAACTAATACACTTCCCAACTCACTTTATGAGGCCAGCTTAAAGCTACTATTAAAACCTAACAGAGACATGACAAGAAAAGAAAATTACAGATAAAACAAATACAAAAATATAGAAATTCAAGATAATTTGAATACAATTAGACATTTGATGATATTAAAGAATTTATATTGTATATTGCTGGTGTTATAGTGTTCTTTTGACTGTATTTCAAAATAATTCTTATGGTAATATGAATTATTTTGGAAATATACACCAATATAGTTTTGGGTAAAGTGGTATTAAGTTGAAATATAAATTTGATCTCTTTATCGGTCAAAAATCATCAAAGATCAGAAATTTAACAGTTCAACCTGATATAATGTCTGGAATTGGTTTCATTATAATCGAATGAGGAAGGTAGAATGAATGTATGAGGGTAGGAAAAACAAGAATGCTGAAATCAGAATTGTTGAATGTGGACGCACTATTTTCCCTGTGACCCTTTTCATCACATAGGAATGGTGCAGTTTGCTCTGCTTATCACTCACCAGCGTTACTGATGCTGTAGGACACCTATCAGACCCCAGGGAAATGATGTAGCACACAGGAGTCATCCCAGTTCACATAGACAGAACAATGTTACTCTGGAAGATCAGTGTGTGAAAATTGTGGATGCTTTAGTCTTAGCACTCTTCATACGACAGCCCATCCTTTGCATAACATGTAAGAGCCATTTCAATTCAGCCATTCTCTCTCATGCATTCTCTTCTGAAATTCTTAAGCAAAACGAAGTCTCTTTATAAATCACTGCACATTAGTAAATTGTTCTGAATTATACTTGAATTAGTCAATTTTGGAAGAATGTTACACACATTATCTTTCTTGTAAAATTTGAAAAGGCATCACAAAGTGCAATCTAGTCATTGATTTATGGACTTGAATCTTTCAAAAGAGGGTTTCAGATTCACTTTGCGTCCCTGAGTTGCTCAATCTGGCATTTAGATAGGAAATATTGTCTAAATTTGTGGGAACTTTGTTCTTCATTTTTCTCTTGCTGGGACAGAGATTCATCATTAGAATATGTAAGTATAATCTCTACTCTTAACTGAAAAATCCACATAGAAACACACACATGCACACACACACACAGAAAGAGAGAGAGAGAGAACTCGATACAACTTTTTCCAGCATTTCCTGCACTGAGTAAAGGATGTTCTCCTTCACATGTACTTCATGTCTGTCATAATACGTAGTACTCAGCTTCCTTGGCTTTTGTATCAGTCCAGGTACAATCAGGAAACAGAAACCAAATGATAATTTAAATAGGGCAGCTTAATATAAATAATTAGTAAGCTATGGATAGAATAACTGTAATAATGTAAAAAGAACTCTCAAGGGTACCCTAGAGCTGGTGGGAGTGTTCAAGGAAAGAGTAAATTGAAAGGCAGATGCCTTCCTAATGCTGCAGTTCACATCTCCTTAAGGAAGGTGTGGTTGTAGACTACTGGATGGAGAAGCTGGCTGGTTTTCCTAGCCCAACCTTGCCCACAGTTGCTGAGCAAGTAGGAATAAACTTCCAAGTGACTAGTGAGCAAACACCAGTGAGAAGACAGGCAGAGAAAGTTGGGGGCATTCCTGCAGGCACAAGGCCTGGAATGCATGGTGTTCATGTCAGGAGAACTGTAGAAAATGGTCACCAGCCTAGGTGGGGGCTGTAAGTTTTTCAAGGTACTGTGTGCCGTGTGTGTGGTGGGGACAGAGCACCCTGGAGTTCCCACACACCCGCACCACAGACAATCCTGCAGCAAGAGCAGACAGAAGCAAACACAGCAACCACAACCAGGAAGAGAAGTCCGCTTCCTCTTACAGTGTTCCTCAATGCTCTCTACTGACAAAACTTCACATTGTGCTCATCGTCAAGAAGAAACGTTTAGCCTCCAGTCCATTATCACAGAACAGGCACTGAAGGGAAATTTGGAGCTCAGAAGTAATAACTCCGATTCTGAGTAGTGGATCTTTGGGTTTCATATATAAACATAGTCTCTCAAAAGTGAGCCAAGATTGAACAACAGTGATTTCCATGATATTCTGAGTTCCATAAAAACAGTTTTAGATCCCAGTATCACTAGATTGTTTAGGTAGAAGTTAATTATTCATAGTGGACTCTGAAGTTGGGCTTCCTTGGGGTAAGTCCTGGCTGGTCCATCTTTCAGCTGTGTAGACCTTAGGCTAATCATTTATCCTCTCTGTCCTTATTTACAAGGGGGGATAATAACCCCTTTTCTTGGAGTTGTTGCAATTATTAAGTGACTTAATATGTATTAGAGCTTAGAACAGTGCCTAGCCCATAGTCAGAGGACAATAAATATTTGCATTTAATAGTATTATTGATTGATAACCTATAAGGTATATCTGTCACCTCCCTGGAAAGAGGCAACAGAAGTCTGGGAGCCAGTCCTCTAATCGCATCGACTCAAAGGGCCAGGTATTTCTTACATGGACTCCTATTGCCTTTAGCATGTCTTGCCTTGCAAGCACAGCAATTATATTGACATTGCTCTGTGCTTGAATTCCATAGACTACCAACAGTTTATTACATTCACTCAAAATTCTCACACTGCATTTATCCCCCGTTGACTCTTCCAAAGATGTGCTTCTCTTTCTTCCTCCACCTCTATTGAAGAACCTGGAATGATTTTCCAGGCATTTATTCTTCAATTTATAAGCAGATACATGGAAGCATACTCTATAAACAGAAAGGCAATTTGTTTAGGGGTCAAAAAATGATGCTCAGTTTTAAAGTTCTAAATTTGAATGTCCTCATTTTTTGAGAATGTTTCCTACTTCATTTATTTAAAACTTAATTTATGCAATAAGATTGCCAGGAACATATGCCAGTTAGACTTAAATGCTAAAATGAGAATTACTAGGTTCCCCACCATGACCTTTGGGTACAGCTCTAGGCTTCCAGTTTTGAAATAGTCACTTTTCTTGGGAAGGGGTGGGGGAAGGTGGGAGGTGGGCAATAAAATTAACACTGAGATACCTCTACTGTCTTATTCCTTCCCCATTTCTGTTCATTTACTGAATGTGATAACTACACTTTCCCTTCATTATCTTTTAAAATGATTAATTTTAAGTCAATTCCAAAATATTTTATGTCCAAGTCCAAAGGGTCCAGATTGATGGTGAGCCAGGCTGAAGAAAGGCTGGGGCAGCACAAAGAAGTAGGAGGAGACTGGGGAGCTCCATGTGCGTGCCTCCATCATGAGAGTGACACAACACATTACAGTTATTATAATACCTCTATTTTCTTACCTATACCAAATATTCATCTGCAGACAGGGACCATGTCTTATTCATCCTATAACCCAAGTAAGTACTACATTTTTAGCACATAGCATGTTCCTAATAAATGTATTACATAAATGAGTGTCTGAAATTTGCAAAGTTGAAGGTTTACTACCTCATATTCCTAAATCCTTTTCAGGAAACACAATTCATCCAGATACACAGTATAGACAGGATCTTTTACAATCTGCAGCATATTTCCACCAAGGATGAAAGGCTCGCAAGATTGATTTTTGGGTCAACTGTTACAGGCCAAGAAAACCCAAATCTCCACATGGTGACTAAATAATCATTTATCCTTTCTGGGGATATCCAATGACAAAGATATCCAAAGTCAAGAGTGAGAGTCTCTGTAATACTCAACAGCTTTCTTCATCCAACAAATCTCCTGCATGAAAGGCAAGTGAACCTCACTGAAGAAATTTTTAAGTAAAGGATCAGGAGGGCCTCAGGAGAATTCAGATATAAGTGTTTGAAGATGTTAATCCTACTTGCATTAGAGCAAACCCAGCTACAAAGAAAAACAAAGAAACATCAAAGGATGAATACAAAATGCAAATACTCAAATGTGGTAAATCAATCACGACCTATGGTACAAAGCCCCAAATACAAGGTATCAGCAAAGACACTGACCAATTTTCCAAGCAGAGCCAGAAGAAAGGAAAAGCATGATTCATAGCACCTGGAGAGATAGAAAGCACATTAAATGGATAAAGCAAAGAAAAATGAAGAAGGATTTCATGGAGCAGCAAATAAAGAAAGTGACAAATCTGACTCCCCTGTGGCAGACAGACAGATGGATGTTTTTTCTGCATTTTTACAGGTCATACTACACACAGTTACTGCACACCACAAAGCTGAACAATGGAGTCAAAAGGAGTTCAGAATAGAGATATAACGGCCACATTGTATATTTGTAAATACCACTTCTTCATGCATTCACTCATTCATTCATTCATTCATTCATTCAACAAGTCTTTTGAGATCAGACAAAATCAGGCACGTCCAGGGTGGTATGGCTGAAGATGATTCAAATCTTTGTCGAGTATTTCCAGTTGCCACACATTGCTCCAAAAACCAAGATAAATTAGCCAGTTTTCCTACAAGGAAAGAGCATAATGTTCATGCAAGTAGACAGATGTAAACAAATAAATTATTCTGCAATGTTTTAAGTGCTATGATGGAAGCAGTGTAATAAAAGCCAACTCAACCCCAGAAGGCAGAAAATAAGTATCATTGATTATAAGAGTCAGTCTGATTTTTAGGGATGATACACTGAAAAACATAAAATAAGGTTATACAATATTCAAATATAGTAGCAATCTTACAAATATAAATGGAATATATACCTATTTTCATACAATAATAAAAATATTTTTAATTCAGATGAACAGTTTAAAGAGTTAACTTTAGAAGAAAATGAAACAGAAAGTTCAATAGAGAAGGATAGAAAAATATATAAAAGGGCAGACACACTCAAAAGCAAACATGTAGAGCAGCATTAATATCAGGAAGAAAAATACAAGACAAAAGTATTAATGGCTGTAAAGTGAAACACTATATATTATTAGAAGTATATTCACTACAAAGAAAACAATTTTTAGCTTTAATGGTCTATAAGGGCAGAAATTACAAAGCAAAATTATATAACTAAATAGAAATTGAAAAAGAATGTTAATCATAGAAAGAGATTCTAATTATTTTTTCAGGAACAGATTATTTATACAAACAAATAGAAATAATGTAAGATTTTTGAAAAACAATGTTAACAAGCTTGATCTAATTTTTATAGAGATAATCCTTTATCTAACAAATAAATAATATATATTACTTCCCATTACATGTAACACTCCTAAGACTGATAATGCACTACAATTTTTTTACCATATCTAAAGTTGTTTATAAGATGTTCCATTATTTTAAGGAATACCAAGAAAAAAAAGTTACCACTGGTTAATAGCCATGAATTGCTATACATAGTCCAATTTCAGGGATTGGAAATCAGAAAAACAATTAATTTATAATCAATAAAATATGATAATTAACTAAGTAACTCAGTAAATCTCAAGCATTTAGCAAGGTTTCTCACTATAGTAAAATTAAATAAAAATTAAATTAATACACAATTGCTAAGAATAAAATAACTGTTAAAATGTATATAATACATCTGTGATAGAGAATGCAAGTGCTTACCCCAATTCATGTTGTCTCCATTTCCTGGACAAGAAGCTATATAATATTTCACAGCCGCCATCTCCTCCCATGCAAATAGGTATGACCATATGACAGAGTTAAGATAATGAAATGTGATTGGTTGTGATATATGTAATTGTGGGCCAAGGCTCTTAAGAAGCAAGTGTGCTTGCCCCATGTTCTCTTCCCTCCTTCTATGATAAATGAAAGAAACACAAGGTAGATAAATGATGGTAACTGAGTAAGCTGGAAGGATCCTGGACTTGATTTACCTATGGATAAACCAACGTACCACCTACCAAATAAGAAAATCCATTCAGACACACACATTAATAGAGAAAATGACTCCAGAGCATGTCCAAGACCTTCACAGCAGCCCCACCCATCACAGGCCCTGAGGCCTAGGAGGGAAAAATGGTTTTGGAGGCTGGTCCCAGGGCCCCCTGTCTATGCAGCCTCAGGACATGGTGCCCTGCATCCCAGCTGCTTCAGCTCCAGCCATGGCTAAAAGGGGCCAAGGTATGGCTCAGGCCATTGCTTCACAGGGTGCAAGACCCAAGCTTTGGCAGCTTACACATGGTGTTGGGCCTACGGGTGCACAGAAGTCAAGAATTGAGGTTGGGGAACCACCTCCTAGATTTCAGAGGATGTATGGAAATGTCTGGGTGCCCAGGCCAAAGGTTGCTGCAAAGGCAGACTCCTCATGGAGAACCTTTACTAGGGCAGTGGGTAAGGAAAATATGGGGTTGGAGTCCCCACAAAGAGTCCCAACTGGAGCACTCCTAGTGGACCTGTGAGAAGAGGGACACTCCTTCAGACCCCAGAATGGTAGATTCACTGACAGCATGCACCATGTGCCTGGAAAAGTCACAGACACTCAATGCCAGCCTGTAAAAGCAGCCAGTAAGGGGTCTGTATCCAGCAAAGCCACAGGGTCAGAGCTGCCTGAGGCTGTGGGAGCACACTTTTTGCATCAGCATGACCTGGATGTGAGATATGGGGTCAAAGGAGATAATTTTGGCATTATAAGGTTTAATGACTACCCTATTGGATTTCAGAATTGTGTGGGATCTGTAGTCCCTTGATTTTGGCCAATTTATCCCATTTGGAATGGGTGTATTTACCTGATGTCTGTACCCCCATTGCATCCAGGAAGTAACTAACTTGCTTTTGATTTTATAGACTCATAGGCAGAAGGGACTTGCCTTCTCTCAGATGAGACTTTGGTCTTAGACTTTTGAGTTCATGCTAGAATAAGACTTTGGGGAACTATTGGAATGACATTATTGCATTTTGAAATGTGAGAGGGGCCAGAGAAGGAATGATATGGTTTGGCTGTGTCCCCACCCAAATCTCATCTTGAATTATAGTTCCCATGATTCCCATGTGTCATGGGAGGGTCCTGGTAGGAGGGGATTGAATCATGGGGGCAGTTACCCTCATGATGATCTTGTAATAGTGAGTTCTCATAAAATCTGATGGTTTTATAAGGGGCTTTTCCCCCTTTGCTCGGCACTTCTCTCTCCTGCTGCCATGTGAAGGACCTTTCTACTCCCCCTTCCACTATGATTGTAAGTTTCCTGAGGCCTCCCCAGTCATACAGAATTGTGAGTCAATTAAATCTATTTCTTTTATAAATTACCCAGTCTTGGGGTATTTCTTTTTTTTTCTTTCTTTTTTTTTTTTTTTGACACAGAGTCTCAGTCTATCGCTCAGACTAGAGGGCAGTGGTGCAATCTCAGCTCACTGCGACCTCTGCCTCCAGGTTCAAGAGATTCTCCTGCCTCAGCCTCCTGAGTAGTTGGGATTACAGACGCATGCCACCACACCAGGCTAATTTTCATATTTTTAGTAGAGACGGGGTTTCACCATGTTGGCCAGGCTAGTCTCGAACTCCTGACCTCAGGTGATCTGCCCACCTTGGCCTCCCAAAGTCCTGGGATTAGAGGCGTGAGCCACTGCACCGCCGGGTATTTCTTAATAGCAACGTGAGAATAGGCTAATACAGACAGTAACTTAATAGAAAAATATGAGTGTTCTGACTGCTCCACCAACACTCTCCTCAGTTCTCCTCATTTCCTGACATGCAACAATATCAAATTAGGCCAATTAATGAGCCTAAAGAGGGCTGTAAGTATTCAAGTGAAAGGAAGAGTTGCATTTCTGTCACTAAATCAAAAGCTAGAAATGATTAAGCTTAGTGAGGAAGGCATATTGAAAGCTGAGTCAGGGTGAACACTAGGCCTCTTACACCAAACAGCCAAGTTGTGAATGCAAAAGAAAAATTTTTGAAGGAAATTAGAAGATCTACTTCAGTGAAATATAAATGATAATGATAAATGATAGCCTTATTGATGATATGGAGGAAGTTTTAATTGTCTGTATAGATCAAACCAGCCACAACATTCCCTTAATCCAAAGCCTAGTCCAGTAAAAGGCCCTATCTCATTCCAATTCTATGAAGGCTGAGAGGGGTGAGGTGGCTGCAGAAGAAAATTTGGCAGCTAGCAGAGGCTAATTAATAAGGTTTAAGGAAATAAGTCATTTCCATAACAAAAAGTACAAGGTGAGGGTGTAAGAGTTGATGTAGAAGCTGCAGCAAATTATCCAGAAGACCAAGCAAAGATAATTGATGAAATTGGCTACACTAGACAACACATTTGCAGGGCAGACAAAGCAGCCTTCTCTTGAATGCCATCTAGGACTTACATTGCTAAGAGGAAAAGTCAATGCTTGGCTTCAAAGCTTCAAAGCACAGGCTGACTCTTTAGGGGCTAATGGAGCTGGCAACTCTTAGTTGAAGCCAGTGCCCATTTACCATTGTGAAAATTCTAAAGCCCTTAAGAATTATGCTAAAGCTGGCCAGGCATGGTAGCTCACGCCTGTATTCTCAGCACTTTGAGAGGCTGAGGCAGGGGGATCACCTGAGGTCAGGAGTTCAACTCCAGCCTGAGGTCGGGAGTTTGAGACGAGCCTGACCAACATGGAGAAACCCCGTCTCTACTAAAAACACAAAAGTAGCTGGGCGTGGTGGTGCATGTCTGTTATTCCAGCTATTCGAGAGGCTGAGGCAGGAGAATTCGCTTGAACCCGGGAGGCGGAAGTTGCGATGAGCCGAAATCATGCCACTGTACTCCAGCCTGGGCCATGAGAGCAAAACACCATCTCAAAAAAAATAAAAACAAACAAAAAAGAATTATGCTAAAATTACACTACCTGTGCTCTATGAATGAAACAATGAAGTGTAGATGACCACACACCTGTTTACAGGATAGTTCACTGAAGATTTTAAGCTCTCTGTTGAGACCTACTACTCATATAAAAAGATTTTTAAAGTATTACTGCTCATTTTCAACATACTTGGTCACTCAAGAGGTCAAAGTTGTATAAGGATATTAATATTGTTGTCATGCTTCCTAACACAGCATCCATTCTGCAGTCCATAAATCAAGGAGTAATTTCAACTTTAAAGTCTTATTGCTTAAGAAATACATTTCAAAAGGCTATAGCTTCCATAGATATGATTCCTCTGATGGATCTGGGCAAAATAAATTGAAAACCTTCTGGAAAGGATTCGCCATTGTAGATGTCATTAAAAACATTAATGATTCCCAGAAAAAGGTCAAAATATCAACATTCATAAGATTATAGAAGAAGTTGATTCCATCCTTCATGGATGACTTTGAGAGGTTCAAGACTTCAGTGGAGAAAGTAACAACATATGTGGCAGATATAGTAACAGAAATAGAACTAGAAGTAGAGGCCGAAAATGTGCCTGCATTGCTGCAACCTCATAATAAAATTTGAATGATTAGCCAGGCATGTGCTATGAGCACATGCTCATAGCCCCAGCTACTCAGAAGGCTGAAGAAGGAGGATCACTTGAGCCCAGAGTTTGAGGATGCAGAGAGCTATACTCACGCCACTGCACTCCAGCCTGCATGGCAGAGTAAGATCCTATCTCTGAAAAAAGAAAAAAAAGTTAACAGAAGAGGAATTCCTTCCATGGATGAGCTAAAAAAGTGGTTTGTTGAGATCAAATTTACTCCTGATAAAGATCCTGTGAACACTGAAATGACAACAAAGGATTTTGAATATTATATAACCTTAGTTGACCAAACAGCAGCAGTTTGAGAGGACTGACTCCACTTTTGAAAGAAGTTCTACTGTGGGTTAAATGCTATCAAATAGCCTTATATGCTACAGAGAAATCTTTTATGAAAGAAAGAGTCCATCGATGCAACATACCTCACTGTTGTCTTATTTTTAAAAATTGCCACAGCTACCCCAATCTTTAGCAACCACCACCCTGATCAGCCAGCAAATATCAACATCAAGGCAAGACCCTCCACCAGCAAAAAGATTATAACTCACTGAAATACTGGGTGATCATTAGCAACTTCCGGCAATAAAGTATTTTTACTTAAGGTATATGCATTATTTTTTTGACATACTGCCATTGTACATTTAATAGACTACAGTATAGTGTAAACAACTATTATATAAACTGGAAAATGAAAACATTTGTGTGGAGGACATAAGCAGCCTTATAGTAAGACAATATAAAGTTATAATAATCAAGACAGTCTAAAATAAAGTAAATACATATATAAATAAAACAGAATAGAAAGCCTGGAAATAATACAGCCACACAATATAGCCAAGTGATTTTGACAAAGGCGCAAAGACAACGGGAAAAGATAATCTTTTCAACAAATTGTGCTGGAACAATTGAATGTTCATTTGCAGAAAAAAAGTCTTATATCTTCACAAAAATTAACTCATACACTAAAATGTAAAGTGCAAAACTAAAGCTTCGAGAAAAAAATAGAAAATCTATATGACCATGGGTTTGGTGACATTTTTTAGACACAACACCAAAAATATGACCTATCAAAGAAAAATTTGATACATTAGGTTTTATTACAATTTTTAAAATTATTCTCTGCAAAAGATATGGCTCATCAAATGAAAATACAAGCACAGACTAGGAGAAAATTCTTGCAAAACACGTAACTGAAAATGAACTTGTGCCTCAAATATACAGAGAACTCTTAAAATAACATTAAGAAAAAAATTAAATTGAAAAATGGACAATATCTGAACAGACACCTTGACAAGGAATATATATGGATGGTAAAGCATATGAAAACAAGAATCAAATTTCCTAGTTTTGCAAGTGAATATTCAGTTTTCCCAACAGTATTTACATTTTTCCATCTTATACCCCCGATTACTCAGTAGCATTTATTAAAGGTACTGTTTCCTGTTGTATATTGTTGGCACCCTTGTCAGAGATCAGTTGACCAAATATGCATGGGTTTATTCCAGGCTCTGTTCTGTTCCATTGGACTATGTTTCATTTTTATGGCAGTGCCATATGGTTTTGATTACTATAGCATTGTAATATAGTGTGAAATCAGGAAATGTGATGTCTTCAGTTTTGTTCTCAAAATTGCATTGGCTATTTGGGTTCTTTGTGGTTTTACACAAATTTTAGAGTTTACTTTTATTTCTGTTAAAAATGCCATTGGAATTTTGATAGAGATCCCTTTGAATCACTTTGGGTAGTATGTACATTACTATGATATTAATTCTTTCAGTTCAGAAACACTGGATTTTCATTTATTTATATCTACTTCAATTTTTTCACTAATATTCTACAGTTTTCACTCTACAAATCTTTCACCACCTTTGTTAAATGTATTCCTAAGTATTTTATTATTTTTGATGCTATTATTAATGGAATAGTTTTCTTTCTTTTTTAAATAGTTTATGTTAGTATACAGCAAGTTAAACTTATTTTTGTGTATTTTATATCCTGAAACTTTACTTAATTCATTTATTAGTTCTGACAATTTTTTGGTAGAGTCTTTAGGGTTTTCTATGTGTAAGAGTACGTCATCTGCAAACAGAGACAGTTTACCTTCTTCCTTTCGAACTTAAATCAACTTGAATGCTCTCTCTCTCTCTCTCTCTCTCTCTCTCTCTGTTTTCTCCTAATTGCTCTGATTAGGACTTCCAGTACCATGTCGAATAAAAGTGTCAAGAGTAGGCATACTTGCCTTATTTCTGATCCCAGAAGAAAAGCTCCCAAACGAATAAAATTAGAACTTTGTCTTGCATCATATATAAATATTAATTTAAAATTAATTAAACACTTAAAGGTAAGATCTGAAACTATAAAACTCCCAGAACATAAGGAAGGGGAAAAGCTCCTTGACATTGGTCTTGGCAATGATTTTTTGGCTATGACACCAAAAGCACAAGCAACAAAAGCAAAAATAAACAGGTGGAAACAACATCAAATTTAAAAGCTTCTGCAGAGCAAAGGAAACAATCAATGAGATGAAAAGGCATCCTGTGGAATGAAAGAAAATATTTGAAACCCTATGTCTGATAAGGGATTAACATAAAAAATACATAAAGAAATCACACAACTCAGTGGCAAAAAATAAAATAAAAAATAAAAATGGGCAAAGTACTAAGTGGATATTTTTCCAAAGAAGAGATAAAAAATGGCCAAAGGTATATAAAAAGGTGCTCAATACCACTAATCATCAGAAAAAAAGTGCAAATAGAAAACATAATGAGATATCACCTCATACCTGTCAGGATGGCTATTATCAATAAGGCAAGAGACAAGTGGTAATGAAGGATGTAGGAAAAATTAACCCTTGTATGCTATTGTGGAAATCAGTATGGGGGCTCCTCAAAAAAATTAAAAATAGAATTGCCATATGATCCACCAATCCCATTTCTGGGTATATGTCCAAAGGAAATAAAATCACTATCTTGAGAGATATCTGTACCCCAATGTTCACTGCAGCATTATTCACAATAGCCAAATTATGAAAACAACACATGTCAATCAAAAGATTAATGGATAAATAAAAAGTGGTATGTTTGGGTGTGTGTTTGTATGCACACACACAGACACAATAGAATACTATTTAGCTATAAAAAACAAGGATATTCCTTCATTTGTGACAACATGGACAAATCTGGAAGACATTATATCAAGTGAAATAAGCCAGACACACACAAAAAACAAATACTGCTATAATCTCACTTGTATGTGGCATCGAAAAAAGTCAAACTCATAGAAGCAGAGAGTAGGATAGTAGTTACCAGAAGCTAGTGGTGGTTGGAATGAGGAGGTGTTGATCAAAGGCTACAAACTTTCAATTATAAGATTAAGAAGTTCTGGAAATCAAAGGTACAGCATGGATGGTGATAGATATCTTAATAAATTTGATCACAATAATCATCACAACATTATATGTATGTCAAATCATCTCATTGTACACCTTGACTATATACAATATTTCTCAAATCAATATTTTAAAAATAT